>NC_000006.12:159767759-159919274 GCF_000001405.40 Homo sapiens | reverse complement strand
ACTTTTCATGATAACAGTGAAAGTGAATCTTCAGTCAATATGGGAATGAATGTAATACTGGGTAAGATGAAGAGCAGAGCTCTGGGCTCAGACCGTCAGTTTGAATTCTGGTTCTAACACTGACTAGTTTCAGGACTGTGGGAATGCATGGAGAGGTGGAATCTCCTCTGACTCAATCTCCGTTCTAAATGCAGGCTGTGAATCAGCCAGGGGCTGAGACCTCTGCTGGGAACGCTTCCTGAGAAAGTGTTCTCTGTGAAGGTCTCCATCATCCAACAGACACTTCTGAGATCTAAGGTCCACTCTCTGCCTCATCTTCCACATCAGCCCTTTTACTGAACTCAGATCAGCTCTGATGAGCCCCTCTGGTCACTCGGGGTCATTTCTTACCACGTGAGAGAAAGAACATGGGCTCATCAGGCCTCACAGGCCACTTCCCAAGCGTTATAACTTCATTCCGTTCTTCACCATACTCTTGTCTGTGCAGGGAGGGGAAGTGCAGGGGCCCAGGGGCTGTCATATTTCTGCAGCCCTCAGCAATGTTCTGCTGTCACTGGCATCGTCTTCCCTCACTTCTGTTCAGCAACTTTATGAAAAATAAGGAAAATGATCAAAAGTTGGTGTCTTAGTCTGTTCATGCTGCTATAACAAAATCCCATAAACTGGGTGGCTCATAAACAACAGAAATTTGTTTCTCACACTTTTGGAGGCTGGAAAGTCTAAGATCAAGGCACTGGCAGATTCAGTGTCTGGTGAGGGCTGCTTCCTGGTTCATGGACAGCACCTTCTCACTGTGTCCTCACGTGGTGGAAGGGGTGAGGGAGGTAATGGGAGGCCTCCTTTTCAAGGGCACTAATCTCATTCATGAGGGCCTTATCTTCAGCACCCACTTACCTCCCAAGAACTCCACCTCCAAATACCGTCACATGAAGGGTTAGGATTTCAACATATGAATCTGGGAGTACACAAGCTTTCAGGCCATACCAGCTGGGCAGGAGGTCTGCAAGGAGAAGTCAAAGCAAGCAGGAACTGTCTAACATGATATTGCTCGAAGCGTTGTGGGAGAGGATGCTGAGCCACTGTCCTGGAGGAGAAAATGGCTGGACGTCGAGGACTGACACAGGCCACTAGGCTGATAGGCAAGCTTTATCCATCTAAAGATAATATAGATTATTCTTTTCCATATGTCTACACCTAAAATTCAACAGGGAAATACCCTTGTTCTTGGTCTGTAGAAATAAAAGAAAAGATTTGGGGATGCTAAACCCTCCAAAAATACTATCAGCATTGTCATGCACTCACTGGGTTAGCAAGCTCCTAGCTTAGTCACATGCAGAAGGAAGACTGCTTCTCAGCCCTCATCTATTTTCTCTCCTCTTGGAAGAAGAAAGACAGGAAGTGCTCAGTGGCTCAATTCAATTATCATAAGCATTCAACCATCTTTAACTAGAGCTAATGAGCCTGAAGGATTTTTAATGATGTTTTATTGTGTCATTATTTTGTTTTAAGTATTTTAAGGAATGTTTTGAGCTTCTGACATTTGCCTAAGGGCAACTAATTCTAAAGGGTTCATTTGATTAAAAGCATACATCAATAAATCAATGTAATACTGACCTTTGCAACTGAGTTCCTGAAATATTTATCCTGCAACTTGGGACAAGGCTTATGTTCCTCGTTAAGGATAGTGATGGTACAGAACCTGCAAGTGCTAATCAACCCAATATGAGGAACGTTCTGGTTTTTAATTTGTCAGCAACTGCATTTTATTCATGCTGTACCCAGAAGCCATATGTGAGATCCTTATCCTTCTAAAAGCCCAACACAAAATTCTCATGCATGAACATTTTATTCCTGATCTCTGAAAAGTTCCAATAATTCCCTCTGAATCCAGAGAATATAGTTTGATACAAGTGAACAAAATGGTCCCTGAGCATGTAGAATTGGAATTCTATTTACAGGCAATGTACTTACTACAGAAAATCTCTCGTTTTTTAAATCTCCTTGTGATTAATCCAAAACAGAATTTCTCCACTTTACACCAATCTCATCCATCAGGTTTGGGTCAGGATGTCTGCTGGTCCTTCTGCAAAGTTAAATCCACCAGGAAACAAGGAAGATTTGCCACCACCGAGGTCAGGATTGTCAAATGGACGTGCTGCAGCCACACTGGAGACCATTTCAGAATGGGGAATTCCCAAAACACTCCAGGCTGGAGGTGGCAAAGTCCGGCCACTACCAAATCTGGCTGCCACCTGTTTTTGTAAAACCCACAAGCTGAGAATAGTTTTTTTACATTTTTAAATGGTTGAAGGGGAAAAGAAAGAATTTCTATGACATGAAAATTACATGAAATTCAATTTTTAGTGTCCATAATGAATTTGTTGGCGTGCCGCCATCCTCGTTCATCTAAGCAGTGTCTGCTTTCACACACCCACAGAGTTGTCATTGCAGCACAGACTGTACGGCCCGCAAAGCCAAGAGTGGCTGCTATCCGGCCCTCAACAGCAGCTTCATTGGAATCAGGGGAGTCTGCACTCACTTGCAAATACAGGTTTGAGGTGGGTTGTTGAATTGGCCTCGTGTCTTTGCCTCTCACTGGCAACAGTGCCAGTGCTCCACTCACTGGAGTGAAGATGAAGAGGAGGTTTGTCTTCATCCTTCATCACCCAAGTATTGACTTGGCACCTGTCTCGGGGCCATGGGCTGCCCAGCATCCTGAGAAACACACCGAGTGCCTTGAAAGTACAATAACTCACTTCTTTATTGTGGTAAAATATACATAACATAAAATTTACCATCTGAAACATTTTTAAGAATACAGTACAGTGGGGTTAGCTACATGTCCATTGTTGTGCAATAGATCCCCAGAACATTTTCATCTCCTCAAACTGAAATTCAGTTCCTACTAAACACTAACTCCCCACTCCCTCCTCCCTCCAGCCCCCGGCCACCACCATTCTACCTTCTGTCTCTATGAATCTGACAACTCTAAGCCCCTCATATGAGTGGAATCATACAGTCTTTGTCCTTCCGGGCCTGGCTTATATCACTTTACATAACGTCCTCAAGAAATAACTAACATTTGCTTGATGCTTGAAAGTTTACACAGAATTTCCTTGTGCATTATTTCACTTACTTGGCACAGCTACTTCGTGGGGTAGGTTACTTTAATTCCATGATAGCAGATGCCATTGGTCAGCCCTGAAGCCACCCCTGTAGTCACTTGCAGGTAGATCCTGTACCTGCCCATGGCTCCCTGTGTCACTCTGCCTAGACATATTCCCTGCTTTAGGCCATGCTCGGCCTGAGCACAGGGCAGGCCAGGAAGAGCTGGGAGTTGACGTCGGGGAGTGATGCTCCCTATTGAGGGGCAGGAGGTGGGGGTCGGCGCCACGGCTCCTTCGCCCTTCCAGGAGGGCAGTTCTGAGGTGGGGCCTCACTGTCCTGGGCCCTTGTTCTCCTTCACTCACCCTTTGCTAACTTCCTCCTTTCCCTGTCTAAATTCCCCACTTTCTCCCATGCTCCTCTGGATGATGGCCACATGAATTACTTGCACTAAATCCTTGTCTCAGGATCTGCTTTGGGTGGAACTCCAACTAAGTCACCAGTCACAGAGATTAACTTGTTGACACTTGCCAAGCTACTAAGTAGGCAGGCTTCCAGTCCTGTTTTCTCATTCCAGAGGCCTCTGCCTCAGGCATTAACAGGCTGGTGTTGGCCAAAATGTACCATACAGGTAATGTCAGCATGAAGCCTGCAAATCACTCCTTCCCCACAGGAGTGCCTGCGGAACAATAACCTCAACCAGGGCACCTTGCAAAGATGCTGAAGACCTCAATCAGACTGCTCTGTAGAAACGTTATACTCAGTGAACTAGTCCTATTTCCAGCAGGATATACCTAATCTGTCAAGATTGTCTATTATAAATAAATTTGGGATTTATAGGTTTATGGGGCAGGGAGGCTGGAGAAAGGGTACGGGTAGTCACATAAGTATATTCTACTTGTGTAATGAACAACGTGCAAAATGGAGGCACCCCCAAACTTCACCAGTTTCCTTTGAGAACAATGTTTCTTTGTATACGTTGCTCAAAACTCATCAGTCAATGTGAAACCAAAGCGTGTGCCAATGTAGGAGAAGGGGACATTTTGGGAGAGCTCAACAAGATGGCAGAATAGAAGATTCTCTGGAACCATTCCCCCCACAGAAATAGATTCCAACTATTCAAAGACAAGAACACCACCCTGAATTCACCAGAACTTTGGGGAGAAGCTGAGAAACCCCCTAGGTCCACAGAATTGAAAGAAGCCAGAACTGGTAAGAGAAACAATCAATTCGGACTGTGCCACCACTCCCAGCTGGCATAGTGTCACTCAGAGAATGTCTCTAGATCCATGGTTTCCAAGGTGACAGGAGAGAATTACAGGTGAGCATTTTATCTCCCCACTGATCTGGTCATCTTCATGGGACACCCACTCTGGCCCCGTCCCACAGGAACCACTGGGAATGCCAGGATAGCTGAATGACCTGGGGTGAACTGGGGACAAAAAGCCAAGCACTGATTGCAGCAACTGGTGTACTGGTGCACTCTGAGCTCTGATCAGTGGGGACACCATGGTGAAGGGACTGGCTGGCACAATCCACAGGGAGGTCCAAATCCCTGGCTGCATTTTCCACGAGCCTAGGTATACTCGAGAGCCCTCCCCTGGCCTGGAAACAACAAAAAGCTCAAGATTAAGTTCTGA
The DNA here is from genome assembly GCF_000001405.40 of Homo sapiens. Classification (NCBI taxonomy): domain Eukaryota; kingdom Metazoa; phylum Chordata; class Mammalia; order Primates; family Hominidae; genus Homo; species Homo sapiens. Next base: position 159,914,529 of record NC_000006.12, on the reverse strand, counting down.
TACCCACTTACATCTTCCCTGAACTGGGAAATGTTGACAGAGCAGCAATATAGTTCCAGGGCAATGTTTAAGTTCCAGTGCTCACCGCAAGTCTCACTCAGAACAGGAAGAAACAACAGACCAGAGTTTAAGTTCCAATACTAAGTAGCAAAGCTCTGACACCACCAAGAACCCTTAAAAAACTGTCAGAGGTGACTATCTTCTCAATTGCACGGGGATCGACGTGAAGTGCAAGGACTGTGAAAACTCAGGGGAAAACGACAACATCAAAAGAGATAACAAAGCTGTAGCAATGGACCCAGAAGAATTGAAGATCTCCGAAATGTCTGACAGAGAATTCAGAGAATCACAAAAAGTACAGATAGAAAACTAAATGACATTTGGAAAACAATCTAGAAGCAACATGAGAAATTTGACCAAAAAAACCCCAGAAATAATTAAAACTGTTGGTCTCCTCCAGAAAAGAGTGTTTCATTTGTGCCTGGCACTTGCCTCTTATCATTTGAATCATTAGTTTCATGTTGGGTAAGATCTGTAAGTCACTCTGAATTTGCTTTAACAATTCAACCCTTTGTATTAACATGTATATGTACACATTTAAATAATTAGTGTAAGAGGATCTCCTTATCCATGAATGACTGGTTTTAGTAAAAGATTGTTAAAAAGGAATCTTGTTAAAATGAGGACCAAAATTTCATAGAAAATCATGAAAAAAGTGAAATTAAAATCATGAAAATTGTTTTAATTTTGCTTTACTAAAACTCATTATAATTTCAACAACATGCCAATAATTTTAAGCAAATGAGACCCCAATAGCTGATTTTTGGCCTTTAGGAAAAGCTAAGTCTCAGGAGACTTCCTTCCAGAACACAATCACCATGTTGTAAGAAACCCAAACCACATCAAAGGGCCTTGTGTAGGAACTCTGGTCCACCTTTCCAGCTGAGCCCCAGGAAATGACCAGCCTTGTGAGTGTACCACCTCGATTGCCCTGCCTAGTCAAGCCTTCAGGTGGCTTCTGCCTCAGCCAACAACTCACTACAACTACAAGAGACGCCAAATGAGAAACTGAACTCAATCAACCCATGGAGCCTTGAGAAATGACAATACATTGTTCTTTTAAGCCACAAAAGTACTTAATTTTTTGGCATAATTTTTCTTTTTTTTGAGACGGAGTCTCACTCTATCACCCAGGCTGGAGAGCAGTGGTGCGATCTCAGCTTACTGCAACCTCCGCCTCCCAGGTTCAAGCAATTCTCCTGCCTCAGCCTCCCAAGTAGCTGGGATTACAGGTGCCCACCACCACACCCAGCTAATTTTTGTATTTTCAGCAGAGATGGGGTTTCACCATGTTGGCCAGGCTGGTCTCAAACTCCTGACCTCAGGTGATCTGCTCACCTCAGCCTCCCAAAGTGCTGGGATTACAGGCATGAGCCACCGTACCCAGCCAATTTTTCTGTCTTTACTTAATGGTTACTTTTGCTGAACATCAAAAAGTGGGTAATTTTTGCAAAAATATCTAAAGACTTCAGCAGTTTTCCCAAGAGCCTCTCTTCAACATTTGATATTAAAACGCTTCTTTTTGGAAGCTCCCATCTCATCATCATCCTTGTTTATTTACCTCTGATTCAGCTGCTAACCGGTCTAACTCTGCTCCATGCTCTTTTATCAATAGTTGAAGTGTATTTTAGCAGTTCTGTGACACCTCTCTTACCTCCTTCACAGAATCCTGAATGTTTGTCAAGATCATCAATTAAAGTTCGAGGACAGTTTGCACATTGACTCTCAGGCATCACAAGACTGATCCACAAAACTGTAGATGAGGCAGTGAGAGAGACTCTGGTGCTAAGCAGGGGGAGGCCTGATGGTACCCATTTTATAAGTGATACATTTGCTAATGTTTTCATATCAAGGATTTTTTTTCCCATATAACCTTGCAAAGTTAAACAGTCAAATGTTAGGTTAAAGAGAAAAGAAGCTTCTTGTTTGTGGAATCAAGCAAGCAAATACTTGATTGCTCCCACCTCCTCCTTTCTTCACTTCTACCACCCACTCCTCACCATCTCATTCAGCAGCCTGAACAGCTGGGTGTCTTGTCTTGTGCTGCTCCTCTCCATGAGAAAAAGCACAGGAAAAAGTATGTATGGCTTGATGTGTTTTCCTTTCCAGAAGTGATTCCTAATTTAAGAAGAGGTTGAGTAAAAAGACAAATTTCAACCTAACAGAACTACTCTTCTAATGGTGAAATTCTAGGGATGCCCGTAAAGCATCTTCTAAGTGCTCCTTAAACAACTCCATGAAGGCAGCCAACGATCCCATCTCCATCTCCATCAGTCACTGGAGCTGTGAGGCACAAAGAGAGGGGATGGCTGCTGGTGGCTCTCCAGTTGCTCATCTCAGTGCATACAATGCTGTCTCCAGAGAAACAACCAGTATGTGTGGCAGGGAGCAGGCTAGTCAAGGCCAGTGGTGCTGTTCACCAACCCTCCTCCATCCTGATTCCTGAAAATTCTGTCCTCCGTTATCCTGGACTGAAATTGATGGTGCAGGACAGAGAGGGAGAATTGCTGGCGAAATGCCATCGGGCAGGCAACAGGGGAAGGGGTTGGAGCATCTTAGCCAGGGTATCACCTTAGCCAGGGAGGGGCATAGTGAGTTCCCCCTGAGCACACAGGGGAGAGGCTGATATGAAGAAGATGGAGCTAGGTCAGCAGAGGGGACAGCGGGGATGTCTGGAAGAGTTCTTCCGGTTGCTTCTATTCCCCTTGTGTAAAGGGGAGCCAGCCATCATTTGCTGAGAGTGAGGAAGGGAAAGATGTGGAAAGTCTGGGAAAGAAAAGGTATGGCACGGTTATCCAGGAACTCAGCTTCCAGAGGCTCTCCTGAGTCTCTAATGCTTGAGCTGGACGTAGATGGATAAATGGAGTTTGCTAGATTAAAAAAAGGTAGAGCAGTCTGTGCAAAGGGAATAGCATAGCAAGGGGGACAGGGTGACCAGCGGTGTACTTCACTGAAAAAAGAATAGGGGCAGGCCCGGCGCAGTGGCTCACTCCTGTAATCCCAGCTACTTGGGAGGCTGAGGCAGGAGAATTGCTTGAACCTGGGAGGTGGAGGTTGCAGTGAGCCGAAATCACGCCACCGCACTCCAGCTGGGGCAACAGAGCAAGACTCTGTCTCAAAAAAAAAAAAAAAAAAAAAAAAGGAAAAGAAAAGAAAAGAAAAAAGAAACGGTGGGGAAATGAATGGGTTACAAGCACCTGCAGGACATTGGGTCAAAAAGTCCATTAGATGATTGGACACACAGGACTGGAGCCCAGCAAAGGGTTCTGGTCAGCAAATGTCTATTTGAGGTTCATTAATAAGCAGGTGATTATGGATCAGGATCCAGGGAGATTTCTCAGAAAGAGGAGAGCAGAGGCCCAGCCACTGAATTATGGAAAATGTGTCCATTTAAGGGAGGAGCAGTAGAAGAGGGAGGAAAGAAGTGAGAAGATTCCAATCAGGAAGATAGGATTCAAAAAGAGAGCTGGAGAAAAATGTAGCAAACTAGAATCCAAGAAAAGAGATAATTTCAGGAAGACTGTGGGTATTAAATGCCACAAAAGGCATAGGTAGAAAACAGCCCATCAGATTTGACACTGTGGAAGTTACTCACCTTCCTATCTGGACCAATCTCTCTATGATGGTCAGGCTGCAAGACAAATGGCAGGATGTTGAGGGGTGAATTGTGGCAAGAGTCAGGACAGTGAGTGTGGAAGAGCCTTTCCAGAAGGTGGTTTGGAAGGAAGGGAGGGAGGGGAGATAGAAACTGGAAAGGGCTGTGGGGCAAGGAATGGCTTCTGGTTAGGTGGAAGCAATTTGAGTCTATTTATATGTACAAAGGAAACAGCCCAGAGAGGGGTGCAGTGGATTCGACCAACACAGCAAATAAGCTGGGGCTACAGCAGTGAGCAAAGCTACGTCCCTGCCCTCAAGGAGCTTATAGTCTAGCGTGAAGAGACAGAGAACGAGCAAATAAGCAAATCGATATATGGCATGATGAGTGCTGAGGAGAAACCCCAGTGGGCAGGGGAGGGAACAGAAGAGGCTGCATGCAATATGGGGGTGGCAGGAAGAGCCCCTGCTGTGGTGACCTCTGCCACACAATTTTGTTCCTAACACTTGTCAAACAAACTTGTGTGCAGCCTGGTGTTGTAGTTATGCGGTGTCTCTTTCTCCTATGACATAGACAGCGGCTTCCGCTTCCCCGTCTTTGCCTTGTCCACATCATGGTGTTCTGCAGAGAAGGCTGTGCATGAATCTTTGTAGTAGGAATGCTACAAACCCTTCCCGTTCAGTTAGGACAGGCATTATCCAAACAATCTCCTCCCCATCCCCAAGGAATTCTCGGAAGTGGCACCTAGTAACCTACAATGACTTAGGCAAATTGTCTGAATGCCTAAAGGATACAAATGATTTAGTATTCTCTACATATTTGCAAATTTACTTAAATCTTCTTGTTATAGTTTTAACCTTACAGTTCACTTTGGGAATGGGTTTGGGGGAAGACAGAAAGAAATTAGTCTTTATAACCCTGCCAAACTCTGAATCCTACCTCCTACCTCTTGGTAAGGCATCATTTTAAAAGGTTAGAATAATTTTTATATTCATTATCACATTCGATTTCCCCACTTTATCTGCAGAAAAACAATAAATAGGGGCTTCCTATTAGTTCACCATATTTTCCTTAGGTAGAAATTCCTTGTATCTGATAGTCTTTAGGGTCCTCTTTGAGACTAAGATCCCCTTAGAGATGAGACGAGGTTGGCCCCCTTTCCCTACCCCAGAGGCCAGCACACAGCACACACAGGAGAGGACAGGAAACAGAGGGGAGTTGCTCTGATCTCCATATTCTGTTCTTTCCCAGGGAAAATGCTCTGTTTTCAACCAAAAACAAGATCATTCTAAATGTCATTGCTCCACACCCCATCTGGGCTCCTGAAAGCAAAGCTGCCTTGTTTCTGAATCAGATGTTGTCACCCACTGAAAAGCCTCCTGCATCCAAGCTTGGCTGGCAGTGGGGTCCTTGCTCGAGGGGACAGACTCCTCTCCCCCAGCGAAGCTGCCCCACATCATTTCTTTTGAGAAAGGAAGAGGATGGGGAAGGACAAGCAGCAACAGAGAACAATTACATCACTGCCTCTCTGACCTTTTAAAGAGCAAATGGTTAAAATAAATACTATCGGGCTCATTTCTATGGACTTGAACATTTTACAACCTGTAGAATCATGTGACATATTGCCCTTTTGTGGAACTCCTAGAAGGGACAGAAGGAAATAAACATAGCTATGCGACGGGCTTCACAGCTAAAACCCAGGACGTGCAGTGTCTGGAGGGCAACTCATGGCAGGCAAGAGGCAGAGCCCCCCCTGGAGTGCTGAGTAAAGATTCTGAGGAAGTCATGCAAGGATCTGTCATGAGCAAAAATATCAGAGTCCTCCAGGATGTGACCACATTTTCATTAGCCCTTGCCACTGAGCCTCCTTCCAGGTGTGATGAAAAAAAAAAAAAAAGCCTCAGGAGGAGAGGAGGCAGACAGGTGCAGAGACCCGCACTTGGCTGCAGGTGAGAACTCTGGCTACAAATAACCCACCTCTTCATGGGGGAGGAAGGTCCCAGTCACCCCCAGGAAGTCATAAATTCAACTCCATTCGTAAAAATGTTTATGCAATCAAAGGATTTCAAAACACAGACTTTCATTTCATCTAGTATTCCCACAGAGGGAAGGGGAGCCATGAGAAACTCCTCTACTGGTGGCCAAATGTATTTCTTCACAACCTGAAATGATGCACTAGCACATGGCTTGTTAGATCATAACATCCGCGATGTTTTTCAATAGAGGTGTAATGCCATGAAATGCTTTCATGCTGCAAGCAAAAAGAAGACCTTCGTAAATTTACATTCAACATGTAAAAACACATAATAACTTCTGTACATGATAGAGCTGTGTGTGTGTGTGTGTGTGTGTGTGTGTGTGTGTGCTTTACAAAACAAAAATTTATATCTTGTCTACCATTGAAGGGAGTGAGGAGAGACTGATATTTGTTGAACATCCACAATGTGCCAGGTGCTTTACAAGCCTCATCTTCTCATTTCATCTTCACAGCAGACCAAGGAGGTATAGACTATTGCCGCAACCATTTTATGAGTGAGAAAATGAGGCTCTGAGAGGTTTAACAACTTGCCTGAGGTCACACAGGAAGCGACCCTTGTTCTTCCTGCTACATCAAGCTGCCTCCTCAAGTTCCAACAAATAGTTTTGTTACCTTGTCCCGTACACATCTGTAAATCTTCCTGCAAAAGTCATTTTTATGGTTCATGGTAAGATGCTGCCAAAAGAGCTGAAAGAAATAGAGTCTTTGTCAAGTACAGAAATGACAGGTCATTTCCAGAAGATACAGTACAAGAGTTCAATTTCATCATTAATTAGTATCTCATGCATATGGGATGAGATGTTCTTCTGTATCACATTTAGGAGATACTTAAGTCATATTCCAAGCACAAACTAAAAATGACCTGTGTTCCACCATTTTTATCCACAACTTCCCTCACAGTTCTTAGACGACAGTCTCAACTGTGACCGTATTACAATTGTCTTTCTGGCGCCGAGGTTGCATTTCATCTTTGAAAGCCCTGGTCAGAACAACTTTTAAGGACTCCTTGAATCTCTTCTTCTTACTGCTTCCCACAAAGAAGTAAATGAAAGGGTTGGCGCTACTGTTGATTGTGGAGAAGAGCAGGGAAATGTGGTGTAGGTTCCCAAAGGTCGACCAATACTCATAGTACAGCAGGTAAAGGAGTCTCATGGGCATAGCGAAGATGAGGAATATAATGATGGTGACCATGATGACTATGTAAAGCTTGGAGGAATGGGAAGCCCACGTGTTCTTCCGGATCTTCACGACCAAGATGGTGCTGGACACCAGCATGAGGGGCGTGAAGACCAGGAAGCTCAGGATGGCTATAAAGATGATGACTGCTCGGCAGTCATTCCGAGAGTGACTCTCTTCTTCTCTGTCGATGCACATGACATACTCCATGGTGGTCACCAAGCAAGAAAGAGCCCACAGAAGGGCACAGACCAATGCCGACTGGTACTTGGGGCGATGGCATCGGTACCAGATGGGGTAAAGGACTGACAGGCACCTCTCCACACTAATGGCCGTCAGCAGATAGAGGCCCGTGTTGTAGCCAAACAGAAAAGTCACTGATAATGTGACAATTGTGTAGTAATGGCCAGAAGAAAGCTCATAATCTAAAGCATAGTCGATAGACAAGATGAAAATACAGAAGAGCAGTGAGATGTCTGCGATAGACAGGTGGGTGATGTAGACAGTGAAGGGATTTCTTCTCATCCGGAAGCACAGGAACCAGAGGAGAATCCCATTCTCAACAAACCCCACTGGGGAGATGCTCATAATGACCCAGTGCACGATGGGGATTTGCCGATGTGCATTCCCGACTGAGGCGTTCCTGCCAGTTGAGATGTTCGTGGGTTCCTCAACAACAAATGATGTCACGTTTGACCCATCCATGAGGAGGCCTCAGGTTGGAACTCTTCAGGTAATTTTCTGTAAATATGTCCAGAACAAAACAAACACAAAAAGCCATGAAAATTGTTGAATTGGAATAAAAGGGAGAAATTCAGCTATAAATCATAATCTTCATGTTATTAAAAAAAAGTTTAACAGACTCTACAGTTATCTTTGTCACAATGATAAGATTAGGCCTTTAGGACCTGATAAGAAAGGAACTTAGACCTGATAAGACTGAGAACTGATTGAATGACCCTTCTGGATCCCCAGTGATAACCATTCATTCTATATCATTGTGTGCTTGTGGCTTAGTGCCAAAAAGGAGATGGCCAGGCAAGAGTGGCCGAGTGCCCTGTGCGGGACCCATTTCCAGTTCTGGCCTGAGCTTTCCTAATGGCATTTTGAAAATCATTTCATCTTCTGTGCCTCCATTCATTTGCCTGAGGGACCAGGTGGACTGCATTAAGACTTGATGACAAAACGCATGTCTGGGCAATGCTGCCACTGTCATTTTTTAATACATGAAGTGCCATAAGCAGTAAGGAGAGGGAGTGCCTGGGACAATGGGTTTAATATTGTACCAATATTGCTTAAAGTGTGAACAATCAAAAGGCATTTATTTTACACGGCTTCAATATCTGCGACAAAGCTGGGCACCTGCTCAGACTACGTAAGCCAGGCAAGCCATTGATGTGTGGACTGGATGGAGAGCCCTAACAAGACGTATGTACGTCCCCACAGACCACAGGCCAGATGGTGCGGGAAACACCATCGCCAGATGCCAGACAAAGCACTCAAAAAAATTTTTTTTTCTAGTTTGTGTGCATGCATGTGTATGTGTATGTAGTAAAACATTGTTCTTTGCTTTCTGAACTTTGTCCATAAGAAGTTGATCAAAATAACTTTTTTTTTTTTGAGACAGAGACTTGCTCTGTCACCAGGCTGGAGTGCAGTGGTGAGATGTTAGCTCACTGCAACCTCCGCCTCCCAGGTTCAAGCGATTCTCCTGCCTCAGCTTCCTGAGTAGCTGGGACTACAGGCGCGTGCCACAATGCCTGGCTAATTTTTTGTATTTTAGTAGAGACGGGGTTTCACCATGTTGGTGAGGCTGGTCTTGAACTCCCGACCTCAGGTGATCCACCTGCCTCAGCCTCCCAAAGTGCTGGGATTACAGGTGTAAGCCACCGTGCCGGCCAATCAAAAGAATATTTTTAGTGAATAGATATCTGTCTTTTCCTCCTGAGCTCACCTGAAGCAGAATAATACATAAATGTGTTATTTCGTGGCACTTGAATGGTTCTGGTGATATTAGACATTTCTAGAATCAAGTCAGCAGAGCCCCAGCATGTGCAGGGCCCTGAGCTGTGATCTCAGTACAGCCGGGCCTGGACCCTGGACCAGCAGGTAGCCTTTGGGTTGGTGAAACAGGTGTTTCCTTCCAGCGATGTGATCCAGGCACCCAGGAGGACACTGCCTCCGTGGTCCCAATCACACCTATCCCATTGACACTTCCCTCAGCTGTTCTAATGGGATGCAGGAAATTACTTTCACTGGAGGAGAGCTTCCTTTTACTTCATAATTAGTAGACAGAGACCCGGAAAAGAACCCACACAGGATGAGAGCTCGCATGCCCTGTCATGCCTAACCAAAGCCCTGCTGTAGAGACCAGGCCTTGTTAGAAGTTTGCAAGTAAGACCACCATGTTCCCCAAATTCTCCCCCCACACATTTAGCCCATGCCAGGCACTGTGCTAGGCACTGGGACATGGCAGTAAATAAAACAAAGTGCCGGCCTGGTGGAGTCTGTATCCCAGTAGGGAGGCAGTCAAGCAAAATACAATAACAGCAACAACAATCAAACTGATGTCAGTGCGTGAACAGTTCTATGGAAAAAAGTAAAGCATCATTAAAGGAAAGGAGTGGCAGGGACCTGGGGGTTCCATCGTCCATAGTGTGATGGGAAACGTCTCACTCATGAGGTCACACTTGGGCAAAGACATGAAGGAAATAGGCGACCGAGGCCAGCAGGTTCTTGGGGGAAAAGTATTCCAGGCAAAAGAAACAGCAAGTTCGAAGTTCCAGAAGCAGGAGGCAGCCAGGAGTGAAGAACCGCAGAAAGGCCAGCAAGGCAGGAACGGCCCGGCAAGGAGAACAGTCAGGTGCTGAAGGCAGGGGTCTTTGGCGACCAGGTCCAAACGGGCTTTGTGGGCTGGTGCTTTTACCCCCAGTGAGATAATAAACCACAGGAGGTTCTGAGAGGAGGAATGTGGTTAACTTGGGGGACTGAGGCGTGAACAGCCTCGGTATGGCCCCTGTGTTCAGGTGACACTCTAGGGGCCATGGCAGGAAGGAGGAGGTCAGGTGGGAGGTGAAGGCACTGGCCTAGACACAGGGAGGATGTTAGCATAAATCAGGTTGTGGCAGAGGTAGTACTATCTGGTGGGAGGTCTTCGATTTGATTCACTGACGGAAGAGATACGTGTTGTGGTAGAAAGAGAGAATACGTGTTTAGCCATTTGCTGAATGGACAGGTGCAGGTGAAGCGGGTTAGCAGGGCCTGTGGAGTTCGAGAAGCCTGTGAGGCAGCCAGGCCATGTCCAGGGGAGTGTCAGGAGCCGGAGGAAAGTTGTAGCTTGGGTATATAAATGTGGGTGTTGTATGCAAACAGGTGGAATTTGAGGCCGTGAGGCAAGACGAGGGTATCTGTGAGGCAAGATGAGAGTATCTGTGAAATACGGGCCATTAAAAAGGAGAAGACATTCAAGGACTGGGCCTTGAGGCATTTCAAAGTTAGAGGCTGGGGAGATGAGGAGGAAGAAGGAGAGGAAACTGAGGATGACCTGACAGAGAGGCAGGAGGACAACTGGGGAAGAAGGGCTCCCAGGAGGCCAAGTAAGAACGAGTTCAAGGGGAAGAAAGTGGAATCAACTGGGCTAAATTCTACTGCAAGTTCAAGTGGGCTGAGACCCGGAACTTGATATTGACCATGGGAGTGGAGCCATTGCTGACCTTGGTAGGAGTATTTTCAGTAGACTGGACAAAATGAATGCCTGATGCAAGTGGTTTAGACAGAATGGGAGGAGAACAGGTGAAGACAGTGAGTGTAGACAACCCTCTTGGGGGCTGTGGGGTTGAGAAGTGATACATGGATAAGAATTATACATGGATAGAAAGCAAATAACTGAGGAGTCAGGAAGTAGGGGTCTAGAGCTGGGAGGAGTCACAGCCTTGCCACAGCATAATTTATACCTGGTGAAGGGGAAGGCAGGGTGTGTGGCTGCAGATCCGGTGAGGTGGGTAGATGTGGTTGTGGGAGTGCCCAAGGCGAGAAGCTGTCTTCTGAAAGTGCAGTATCTCTTTTACAGTAAAGTAAGGAGCAAGGTCATCAGCTAAGAGTGAGGAGATGTTCAGGGTTTAAGGAGAGAGGGCACGATGTGAAATACATGAGGGAAAGAGAGGGCTAGGGACATACACAAAGTGCAGGATCTCCAGCCAGGCTAACCTACAGCCCGCCCAGCTTAGTGCTCGGGAACCTGGGAGAGACTACTCAGCCTCACCTGTGCTTCTCTACGGCTTAGTTCAGCTGTCCAGGTGCCGACATGGAGAAAGAGGAGAGGTGGATTTAACCAGGGCTGGGGTTTACCAGGCGGGTACGACACAGAGTGGGGGTCAAAGGAAGCAAAGCACATAGAAGGGAAGGGCTACGATGATGGACTCTGGAGCCCAGTGGGGTTAGGAGAAAAATGAGGGCATGAGGGAGGTAACAGATGTGAGCAGGAAATAGGAGCTACATATCGGAGGTCCCAGCGGTGTCAGGGAATCATTGAAGTCCCCGTACTAAAGGCACTGAAGGGGAAGGAGGAGGTGGGGGCTGGAGAACGTGACGCTTAAAACTGAGCCTGGGGCAGTGTAGTTTTGGGGTTATCAGTATTAAGTGCAGAGTGTGACTGTGGAAAAGAAGGGCTGAGGGAGAGTGGAGGATAAGATCATTTGAGCTGAGAGCAGAACCTGGAGCCACAGGGCTGGAAGAATTATCCACAGATGCTGAAATCGCTGAGAAATAGTGTTGGAGACCAGGAATATTGTTGGAAAACGTGGCTGTAATCCAGGTGCTGAAATCGTCAAGGAATTTGGGACAGCAGCCCAGGGGTCCGAACCAACCACAGCAAGGAGGGTGGGAGGCGATACAGTGGCCGGCACGCACTTCAGAGACTGGTGTTTTGTTGCTCCTGCTGCTGCTGGTGTTGGAGAGAGAGGAGAGAGGGAAGAAAATTCAAAGTACACAAAAGGTAGGGGTGACAAGGGCCTGGACCAGCGCCGTCCAACAGAAACACAACGTGGGCCACCTGTGCAAGTGAAGTTCTAATAGCCATGTTAAAGAAAGTAAAAAGAAACCAGCAAAATCCATTTTAATAACATACTTTATTTAGCCTAATGTGTTTAAAATATTATTTCAACACGTCATCAATACCAAAAATATGGATGAGGTATTTCATGTTCTTTTGCATGCATTAAGTCCCCCAGATGCAGCGGGTACTTCACTCTTGCAGTGCATCTCGCTTCAGATGAGCCTGGTTCCCTATGCTCAGGAGCCTCATGTGACTCGGGGCTGCCATGTTGGCCAACACAGGTAGACAGCCATGGCAAAACCAAAGTCGCTTATGCAAGGAAGCCAAGTGCTTTCATCTTTTAATTACAAACCTAAACCAAAGACCAGAGATGTAAATTCAGGACCTAATCCGAGTTTTTGAGGTTACTGACAAGATCCTCTTTCTGCCTCTGGTCCATGCCCTGGGATCTCTCATGGACCACATCCTTCAGCTGCAACTTCTTGCTGTGTGGAGAGAGCTCTCAGTTACCCCAGGTCACCTCCCCTTCTCTGTCACCCTGCTTGCTCATCCTAGATTCAAGGCATGCTCTATTTTTACTACTGACCCATTCTCCCAAGCGGCCTGTCCTACCCTTTCCTTTCACAATACCAGTTTCTATTTCTGTATTCAACTTTTCTTCTTTTCCCCAAAAGTTTCCAAATAAATTCACAAAATTCATCTGAGAAAGGTGTTTCAAATTGCATCTTCTTTCATTAATTTTTTTTTTTTTTTTAGAGATAGGGTCTTGCTCTGTTGCCCAGGCTAGAGTGCAGCTGTGTGGTCGTAACTAATTGCAGGTTGAACTCCTGGGCTCAGGTGACACTCCTGCCTCAGTCTCCCAAATCACTGGGACTACAGGTGCATGCTACCACACCTGGCTTGTGTTTTATTTTTATTTTTGTAGAGATGGGATCTTGCTATGTTCATACCCAAGACATTTCTCCTTGTAACAGAGCAGAGTTAAAATTTTTTAATTAAAAAAAAAGTTTAGAGATAGTCTCACTCTGTTGACCAGGCTAGAGTACAATGGTGCAATCATAGCTCACTGCAGCTTCAAATGCCTAGGCCCAAGCAATCCTCCCCTCTCAGCCTCCTGAACAGCTAGGACAACAGGCATGCACCATCACACCTGGCTAATTTTGTTTTTAATTTTTTGTAGTGTTGCCAGGCTGGTCTCAAACTCCTGACCTCAAGCAATCCCCCTGCTTCGGCCTCCCAAAGTGCTGGGATTACAGGTGAGAGCCACTGTGCCTGGCCTCAGAGTTAAAATTCTATCTTATTGACTGTTGTGGACGGAATTGTGTTCCTTTCCAAAATTCATATGTTGAAGTCCTAATCCTCAATGTGACTCTATTCGGTGATAGGGCCTTGTAGGGAGGTAATTATGGCTAAATAAGGTCCTAAGAGTGGGGCCCTAATCCAATAGAAGTGGTGTCCTTGTAAGAAGGGGAAGAGACATAAGAGATCTCTCTCTGTGAGGGCACAGAGGAAAAGCCATGTACGGACAGAGGGAGAAGGCAGCCTTCTGCAAACCAGGAGGAAAGCCCTCACCAGACCAGCCCTGACGGTGCCTCGATCTTGGACTTCTGGCCTCCAGAACTGTCAGAAAATAAATTTCTGTTGTGTAAGTCACCCAGTCCATAGTATTTTGTTATGGCAGTCAGAGCAGCCTAATACACCCACTAAACAGCAAACTCCTTGAAACCAGGACCTTATCCTTTTTGCATCTGAATCTCCAACACTTGCACACAGTAGGCATTTAATAAATACTTATCAAACTGTTTCAAGAAATAAAGCCCATTATAACAGTTCTAAGAATACACTCTGCTTCCCCACGAGAGAAAACCACCACTTTCAGTGCAGGGCATCACACTGAATAAACATGGGTTTCTAATGGTTAGAGCACAACTCATGAAGCACATACAGTACTCAGGCAGACTTTGATCATGATGCGGATTTTAGTCATGATTGGAATGCACATAAAAAATTCCATTAAAACTAGTTCTCATTCAAAAACGAATCATAATCCTCCAAATTGTTTTTATAGCGGGGTTCTATTTAAACAAACACATTGCTAAAAATCACATTCCCAGTCTTACCCAACCAACTGAGTTTCGGTCTCTGAAGTGAAATAGCAGATGGCGAGAAATGCCTTGACAACAGCCGGCCCTACGTGCTCGTCACCCTAGCCCTTTCCTCCCCCAGCTCCTTGGTCATTTTGTGGATTCTTCAACTCTGTCGGTGGATGACTGACGGGGATATTTGAGGTTGGGAAGTGTGAGGAGAGTAGAAGGGTAATTGCTGCTAGCTGACAAAACAGTCTAGCTCAGAATAATTTAGTGTTGGCTCAGTGAGCCTTCCCCAACAGCAGAGAGAAGACCACACAGTTGAGATCTCAGAAAGCCATGCAGACGAGGTAGGCACTTGCACTGCAGGGTGAATCAGTAGGGTAACTTCTCTCTGGGTCAACTCAATTCTAGGACCAGAGGCTCTCTGCCCAGACATGCCAAACATTTTTCATTTTTATTATTATTATTTTTTGACATGGAGTCTCATTCTATCGCCCAGGCTGGACTGCAGTGTCGCGATCTCGTCTCACTGCAACCTCTCCCACCCGAGTTCAAGCGATTCTCCTGCCTCAGCCTCCCGAGTAGATGAGAATACAGGCACCTGCCACCAGACCCAGCTAATTTTTGTATTTTTAGTAGAGACGGGGTTTCACCATCTTGGCCAGACTGGTCATGAACTCCTGACCTCGTGATCCACCCGCCTAGGCCTCCCAAAGTGCTGGGATTACAGGCATGAGCTACCGCGCCCGGCCTCATTATCTTTTGTTTTGTTTTGTTTTGAAACAGTGTCTTGCTCTGTTGCCCAAACTGGAGTGCAGTGGTGCAGTCATAGCTCACTGCAGCCTTGACTTCCTGGGCTCAAGTGATCCTCCCACCTCAGCCTCCTGAGTAGCTGGGACTACAGGCACTCACGACCATGACAGCTAATTTTTGTTGTCGTTGTTGTTTATTTCTTACAGAGATGGGGTCTCACCATGTTGCCTAGGCTGGTCTCAAACTCCTGGGCTCAAGCCATCCTCCTGCCTCAGCCTCCCAAAGTTCTGGGATTACAGGCATCAGCCACCACACCCGGCCACCAATCATTTTTCTTACACAGCACTTGCATTTGCAGGGATGCATGTTTACCTGGCAGTGACAGCCTGGGGTGGAGGGATAGCTCATCCTGACAGCCCTCAGTGGCCCCTGGAGTGGTCAGTTACACTGCAATGGAAACCTCAGTTGGGAACAGATTGCAAAGACAGCCAAGGAGGTGACAGCACCACGACTGGTCAGCATTACTGGCAGCATCACAGAGCATCTTCCCTCCTCTCTTTCTTCTCACGAAAGAGATGTCTAGGGAGAAAGAAATAAGTTAGACTGTGAGAATATCGCAGTGTGGGGCTCTTGGGGCCAAAGCACCTTTCCTTCCATCCTAGCTTTGGAGCCTTGAAATCAGCTTGGGAGGCTGATAAGGATGACATCATTGCCCCCTTTTTAGAGGGAAAAACCTAAGGATTAAAAAACATGCCAGGCTCAGAGCCACCGTTTTGCACAGCCCAAGGGCCTACCAACTGCCTTTGCTCCAGTGTGTCTGGTGCTCCCTGGGTCCTGCAGGGCTGTAGTGCCCAGAAACTTATGTGGATCTTAATCACAGTGCTGGCCAGGCAGAAATCCAGGTCACTTGACTTCTGACCATGAGCTGAGACAGTAAGAAGAAAGAAGAAGAAGGGAGAAGGGAGGAGAAGGAGAAGAAGGGAGAAGGGGAAGGAGAAGCAGGGAGAAGGAGAAGGAACGAGGAGGAGGAGGAAGAGGGAGGAGGAGGAAGAGGGAGGAGGATGAAGGAGGAGGAAGAGGGAGGAGGAGGAAGAGGAAGGAGGAGGGAGGAGGAGGAAGAGGGAGGAGGAAGAAGAGGGAGGAGGAGGAAGGAGGAGGAAGAGGAAGGAGGAACAGGGAAAAGGAAGAGGAGGTAGGAGGAGGAAGAGGCAGGAGGAGGGAGGAGGAGGGAGGAGGAGGAAGAAGGAGGAGGAGGAGGAGGAGGAGGAGGAGGAGTCTGGAAATCACTGTTCTACCAAACCCCTCAACTTTACAGGACAGTGAGTGGTTGTTGGAGAGCCTGTGAGGCAGGCCAACCTTCACAACCAGTTTGAGAAGCCCTGTGGCCCAGCGTGCCTGATCTTAGCCCGGAGCTCTCTCCATTACACTCTGGGGCCTAATCCTATTTTTAAGACTTTACTGTTTACAGCCTCTCTATACTTAAGTTTTTGAATCTAGTCTGCCTCTAACCTTTCCTATTTAAGGAATTAAAGTCACCATATTGTAGGGAATATTTTTTATTAAGACGTGTTTAGGCTGGGTGGAGTGGCTCACACTTGTAATCCCAGCACTTTGGGAGACTGAGGCAGGCAAATTACCTGAGGTCAGGAGTTCAAGACCAGCCTGGCCAACATGGTAAAACGCTGTCTCTACTAAAAATACAAAAATTATCCGGGCGTGGTGGCATGTACTTGTAATCCCAGATACTCGGAAGCAGAGGCAGGAGAACCACTTGAACCCCGGAGACAGAGGATGCAGTGAGCCAAGATCGCGCCACTGCACTCTAGCCTGGCCAACAGAGTGAGACTCCATCTCAAAAAAGAAAAAAAAAAGACTTGTTTAATTTCTAGTTGTGACTTTGCCACTATGTGGTCTCTGCATGTGAAGTAGTCCACTGTGAAGCAGTCCGCAGGGACTGATCAAACCACACCTGCCTGTTCAAAGAGCTCTGCCATCAAAAAAATGATTACCCTGAAACCACCTTTGCAAAAATTATAACAGTGAGAAAATTATGACAGTGTGAGATCTCACCTAACTGATTCCATCTTGCTTCTAAACTCTAAGCTGCCCCTGTTCATTCCTGATCATAGCCTGAACTAACTTTGGGAGAAACTTAGTTTATAGTTTAACTTTGAAACAAAGACAATAACAGCCCTTTCCCAAAACAAACCCACTTCTTGCCTGGGTACCAGAATGCCTTTGTAAGACTAACAAGTTAGGCACAAGATTCAAAATTATGGTTTAGGAGTCATGCAGCCAGAGGCCACAAGATTCTCTACCTCCCCATTACTCCTAGGGATAACATCACTGTTGTAAAATCTGTTATTTGTGCTCAAGACATTTTTCAGACCCTGCATTCTGATGCACCAGCTGGTGCCACTCAGACAGATAATCTGCCTCAACCGGTTCTGTGATCCCACCCAGAAACAGAAGACCGCAAAAACAAACTGCTTGAACTTCCTGTGACTTCATCCTCCAACCTGACCAATCAGCACTCCACATTCCCTGGTGCCCTACACACCAAATTATCCTTAAAAAAAACCCCAGTCTCCGGCCGGGGGTGGTGGCTCAGGCCTGTAATCCCAGCACTTTGGGAGGCCGAGGCGGGCGGATCACAAGGTCAGGAGATCGAGACCATCCTGGCTAACATGGTGAAACCCCGTCTCTACTAGAAATACAGAAAAATTAGCCGGGCGTGGTGGCGGACGCCTGTAGTCCCAGCTGCTTGGGAGGCTGAGGCAGGAGAATGGCGTGAACCCGAGAGGCGGAGCTTGCAGTGAGCCAAGAACGAGCCACTGCACTCCAGCCGGGGTGACAGATCAAGACTCCGTCTCAAAAACAAACAAACAAACAAACAAACAAACAAAAAAACCCAGTCTCTGGATTTTCAGGGAGACTGATTTGAGTGGTAAAACTCTGGTCTCTAGTTTAGCTGGCTCTGTATGAATTAAACTCTTTCTCTATTGCAATTCCCCCGTCTTGATAAATCGGCTCTGTCTGGGCAGCAGGCAAAGAGAACCCTTTAGGCAGTTACAGTCCCAGCAGGGCTCATTTTATAGCCTCTTTAATCTTAACACAAAATGGGGATATTTTCTTTTAAATGTTTATCGCCTTTCTTCTAATTTTAAAGCAGTATGTGCTCATTGAAGAAAATTCAGAAAATCCACACATACAACTACTATTAAAAATTAACCAGATTCAACATTTAGGATATTCCATTGGTCTTTGTTCAATGTCTTACACACGCTCGTTTTTAAAATTGAGATTGCATTTTATAATCTTTTGGTATCCTTTCTTTCTACCTTTTTTTACTCAGTATCATATTGTAAACATTTACTCATGTCAGTATATACTCTAAAAGTATGACTTCAGTATCACTAACTGAAGGTCTCATGATTTATTTGTTTATTTATTTATATATTTATAATTTTGAGACAGGGTCTCACCCTGTCAACCAGGCTGGAGTGCAGCAGTGAGATCACAGCTCACTGCAGCCTCTATCTCCTGGGCTTAAGTGAGCCTCCCAGGTAGCTGGGACTAGAGCACTTGCCACCATGCCAGCTGAGTTTTTGTATTTTTTGTAGAGACAGGGTTTTCCCATGTTGCCCAGGATGGTCTCAAACTCTTGGACTCAACTGATTCTCCTGTCTTGGCCTCCCGCAGTGCTGGGATTACAGGCGTGAGCCTCTGTGCCCAGCTTTCATTATTCATTTTTAATAATCCCCTAGCCTTGGACATATCCATTTGCTGCTGATTTTTCACCGCTATTTTTAAAAACAAAGCACCGTAATGAATTCATATGGATGCAAATTTTGTGCACATCTCTAATTATTCCCCTAGGACATATTTCTAAAAGTGGAATTGCTAGACCAAAGGGTATAAACGTTCTTCAAGATTTAAATGTGTATTAACAAACTGTCATCCAAAATAACCATGCCAATTATATTAATACCAACATCAACAGTATATAAAGTTTTTTTCACAGCATATATATGTTTCTTTTTCTACAACATCTTCAGTTTCTTAAATTCCCAAATTTGATAGATGATAAAAGATACCTTGTTTTAATTTGCATTTATTTGATTCCTAATGAGGTTGGACATTCTTTTATGTTAACGGTTACTTGTATTTTTTGATGGATTGTTTTTTCATACTCTATGTCCATTTCTTTTATTGAACTGCAAGAAACATTTGTAAATATGGCAATTTGTTATATGTTATACGTTACAACATATGTATATGTTATATTTTTCCCCAGCAACTGGAGTATTTTATAAAAGACATGAAAGGATGCGGCTTGGAGTTTTCTTAAAAACACTTTCTTATTGGTAAAGTCAGACCATCCTGTGCTGATCATTAAGACTTAGAGCTTGAAAAAATCATGCAGATACTGCAAACCACCCCCTTGTTTTTCCAGGTGAGGAAATTAACTCAGGACTAGTCCAAGGTTACATACTTAGTAACAAAGGCAGCAGCAGAGCCTGGATTGCCCCAGGTCCAAATTGGCACTATTTCTAGCCCTCCCCTGCCCCACCCAACATACACACACACCAGCTCATTGTCAACAGTCCGTCTATGTGTGAAGTTCACACACCCATTCATGGGGCTGTCAGGACTTTTGGAACATTTATTAACGGCTTTTATGTCGCCAGAAGCAACCGCACAATCAACTGGGTTGTTAGTAATTAAGATCCTTAAAAGATGGAGTTTTTAATTTATCAAAGGATGGATCTTATTTATCAAAGAATGGATTTTTATTTATTAAAGCACCACCTACCCAATACCAAACCCATAACCAAAACAACACAAACACACAGGAATGAGTTGTTTTCAGAAATATTGTCTCTGTTTTCACTTTCTTCTGTGAAACAGAGTGGCTCCTAGCTATCACTATTATCAATAAACACATCTATTGATGAAGGACACCATGCTTCACCATTATGGGTAAAGATAATTGATGTCAGAGGGGGCAATTCAGGCATGTCCTTTCATCAGAACAAATAAGAGAAAGGAGCCAGTGCATTCAACAGCGCAGCGCTCTCAGCCAAGTCCTCTAGAAGCAGGTGAGACAAGATCTGGGGCTCGAGCCCCTCCCCAATGCATGAATGTTGCTATGGAACCCCACTTCACGTCTCCTCGCCTCTTGTCTCCGAGATGATGCCAGAGCCTAGCATAT
Source organism: Homo sapiens (assembly GCF_000001405.40). Classification (NCBI taxonomy): domain Eukaryota; kingdom Metazoa; phylum Chordata; class Mammalia; order Primates; family Hominidae; genus Homo; species Homo sapiens. The sequence continues at coordinate 159,894,549 of NC_000006.12, read as the reverse complement.
TTCTTCCCTCTGGCTCTCCTCCTGCTTTCCTGCAGTTCTTCTTCTTTCTCCTTCGCTGGATCTCTTCTTACACTGCCCTTTGCACCTTGGAGTTCCACCAGGCTCCATTCTTTTTTTTTTTTTTTTTTTTTGAGACAGGGTCTCACTCTGTCGCCCAGGCTGGAGTGCAGTGGTGCCATCTCCACTCAATTCAGCCTCCGCCTCCCGGGTTCAAGTGATTCTCCTGCCTCAGCCTCCCAAGTAGCTGGGACTACAGGCACCCGCCACCACATCTGACTAATTTTTTGGTATTTTTAGTAGAAACGGAGTTTTGCCGTGTTGGCCAGTCTGCAGGCTCCGTTCTCGACCCTCTTCCCTTCCTACTCCACAGACTCTCCTTGGGTGGTCTTGTTCAATCCCACCATTTCAACCATCACCATTTTCTGATGAAATCCAAATGCACAGCTTTAGCTCACACATCTCCCCAGCATGTCAGACCCATATACCCAAATGTCCTGGGTATCTCCAACTGAGCCTCATCAGGTGGCAGAGCAGTCTCAGTGGGCCAAAACAGCAATCCAACCTTCCCCGCTGGTCCACACTTCCTCCAATATGCCTAATAGCCTTCCAACACAAAAAACTGGACACTTTACCATAATCTTGTATGTCCCCTGCCCTAGTGCCTAGAATCAGCCATTTCTCCAAGGAGCCCTGGTTCCTTTCAGTAAATAATTATATTTAGAAGCCAAGATCTGGGTGTAAAATGTGCTCATTGCATGGAGGCTGTCGCTGCTCCCAGCCCCTCTCAGTGGCAGGGCTAAGGAATATATGTACATAGATAACATTTATGTATAGTCATACATACACACACCTATGGCTGTATTTCTATGTCTTTTTATATCTTTATAAAATATATACATATAATCATAAATTGACACCAATATCTCCAGTTTTGACCCACCACCAGTGAATTCATTTGAGTTTTCTCCCTCTCCATATTTGTAACTCCCTTCTCTGAGAAACCTGGCTCCCTTGGCCCTCTATGCATTTACTCATTTGATCAACCCACCTATGAATGGTTGCCTATGTCTGCCACTGCTCTTCCCCTGCCCCTGCACAGATGCCCTCCTCACTTTGTTGGGCCCTTTTACTTCCTGTTGGACCAGTGCTCCCCCTGCCCCCTACCCTGAGACACAGACCTCACACTGCAGGAGCTCCAACACCCAGCACCAGTTCCCTGTACCCCCCATGCAGATATCCTGCCCTGCCCAGCACTGACATCCCCTGCCATGTCACCACTGCCACTGCCCTCACCCCGGCGTGGCTGCCCCCATGGGGATGATCCTTGCCTATTCAGGCTCCAGCACCTCACACAAGACACCATAAGCCAGGGTGACCATGGTGGAAAGTAGGACTTAACACCCACCACCTTCCTGCAAAACTCAAAGAATTGTGGGCAGTATCGCATCTGAATGCAGAAGAGACTTTTGAGAAGAGGGGTTTTGACATTGATCAAAGTACAGTGCAGAGGCCACAGCCTATTCTGCTTGTGCCTACGGCTGCTTGGCCTGGGAGCTGCACTTTCAGTCAAACTGACCATGAGAGGCAAGTCCTCCATCAAGCAGATTAACCCCACTGGGTCTCAACTGCTTCACATGCTGGCATTTTAATGTAGTTTGAAAGGCTGGGGTATAAGAAATGCTAGAGATTGAACAGCACTTTGCCAATATGAGTCTCATGGAAATGCCAAACTGAGATAATGAATCAACAAGCAGGGAAAACAAGCATGGTGGTTTCCATTGATGTGTAAGGATGTGGGCTTTGCAGAGCCTGTGTCCTGCCAGGTCCACCTGAGATTGCTGGCTGCAATTACCTCTCAATGAAAGTGAGAGGAACAGATGGGTGGTGGAGCTGATAGAAAAAACAAGGAGACTCAGAGTCAGCAGAGAGTTCTAAATGCCATACATTTATGCTGCTCAAGTGTTCTCTAGAGACCTCAGAAGCAAACAACCCCTTCCACATTCCCATTCAGTTGAGCACAGTCCTTCCATGGCCCCAGATACCCAGCCTAGGACATCACTCTTAGAAGAAAGAAAGAGGGGGCTGGGGAGAAAGGCAGGGAGAAAAAAGGAAAGAGAGAAAAGCCAATAAAACTCAGGCTGGGGGAGTGGGCCATCTGAAAGCGCCTGTTGTTCCCAGGCAACTTAAAAGACAGCCTGACCCTAGGCTGGATTTCTAGGTGTGCAGATCCAGAGAAAAGGGCAAATTCTTCCCTGTGTGTGTGTGCAGTCACCTGGACAAACAGAAACCCATTTGTGAGATGGAATTTCCATGGCAGGCAAGGGCTCCGATGGGAATGTACAGGGCAGGACCATCTGTCCTGGTATTAAATGCATCATTCCCGTCTTCCCCACACTAGGGCCATCTGTACGCAGAAGCAGAGACTTCTTGCTCCCTTTCCAAACATACCACAGGATCAATTTAGAGCCCTGGTCTAAAAGGGGGGAAGGTGATTTTGTCCCCTAAGGGATGTTTGGCATGCCTGAAGATATTTTTGGTTGTCACAATGGAGAGGAGTGTGCTACTGGTATCTAGTTGGTAGAGGCCAGAGATGCTGCTAAACATCCTATAATATACAAGACAGCCCACACGGCAAAGAATTACCCAGCCCAAAATGCCAGTAGTGCCGAGGCCGTGGCACTCTGCTAGAGGCCAGCTTCTTACCACCTTTTTACTGCTGCACCCATAGCAATCTAACAACACACTATACATTCTCTCACCAAATTACTCCTAAGTATCCTGGCTGGGAAGTGTTGCTAAGACGCTCATACCAAAGATCAAGACTGGGCAGGAGATTCCTTTTAACAGACATCTTGTCACCAAAGGAATGCATACGGCTTCATAAGCAACAGAAGCTAATACTGATGCCAGTGCCCACTAAGGAAAAATGAAGAAAAATCAATACAGCTTGCCCCTGTGATGCCAAAGAGCTGATAGCCAAGTGATTTCTCCAGAGGAATCAAATTCAGTAACAACTCTTTCAAACCTCAACTTCTTTATCATTCATAAGCTTTCATTAAGCAGCCTTGAAAACCTCCAAGTCCACCATTCAAACTGTGAATTGATCCTAAGATTCTTTCCCCTGCAACGAGTTAAAAAAGAAAACGCTACTGCGAAGTTTCAACCCTGAAGTTGAAAAACAATGTCTGGGAACAGTTAACTCAGCAAAGAAGTAAATTTTCCAAAACAAAGGCAGGAGGAAAGAGAAGTTTTTGCCAACACACACCAACGGCAAACATCTAACACACCGAAAAAAATAAAAGAAAGAAAAACCAGCACAGAAAAGAGTTATCCAAGAAATAGCTTTTTAAAGAGAGAAAATCTTACTCTGGTTGTCAAGGACAGCTAAGCAATGAAAAACTGGGACGCAGACTCACTGGTGTCATTTGCTCAGGAAGGGTCAGACGTGGCCAACAGGTTGGCTGCCCCTTCACATCTGGGGCATCAATGCCCAGCCAGCCTGCAGGGTCTCCGGTCCCAACATCTCGAAGGATGGCTGCAGCCTCTCATCTCTGAAGGAATCAGAGCTGCTCTCCCACTGCTGAAAATATTTGAGATGTGCCAAGCAGATGGTCCCACGCTTATCAGCAGAAGCTTCCAATGGCATCATTCAGTGACACACTCAAGTGAAAATCTTCACGCCAATCCAGAGCGGGGTGTGAGCTGGTGATAATGCAAGGCAGTGGATCACCTTGAACCACTAAGGCCAGCCAGGGCTAAAGAGAAAGATGACGTGGAGAAATGCCACATGGAAGGGCAAAACCGCATGTGTAGTAGAAAGACAGAACCATCTCAAATTCCCAGCTCAGTTTCTAATAAGTTATGTGACCTCTGCCAAGCTCTCTAAGACTTGGTTTTCTCATCTGTAAAATGGAGCTAATAATATTAACTCAAAACCTAGTAATGATGAGATGAGTCTATGTATAGACCCAGAGAGACATACGGGAGACACATGGCTAGATAGTTAAGGATTTGTTCCCTTCTCCAACCCAGTTTCGGAGAGTATCATGCTCAGTGTAGTATATAAGACCCGTAGGATGCTATGAAAAGCAAGCAAGCCAAGGAGTGTGTTCAGGGGTGAAGGCAGGGGTCTGCACCATTGGCCATGCCCAGACTGCGTCCCAGCCTGGTCCGGGGGCTCCTCCTGGGAGTAGCTGTTTCTGTTAGATGCCAACTCTCACCCGTGCAGTCAGGAACATGAGAGCAAATTCCTTTTCCCCGATCCCTGTTCTGCATTTTTTGTGTTTTTGTTGTTGTTGTTGTTTGGTTAGGTTTTTTGTTTTTCTACCTTTTAAAAACCAAAAATGGCCAATATGTTACCCATTTTTCAAATAACTCAATGTGAAGCCCCAAAGGCTGAGAATTCTGGATCTCTTGGATCTCAGGTAGCCAAGTCTGAGATCCCAAGCCTGAAGACCCACCCCTCACTCAGGGTAGCATTTTCTCTTGTTTAAAGGGATTCCTTCATAGATATTGTGCCAAAGTATTAAGAACCTCGGGGACCAACTATATCAAAAGGGGTAAGAAGGCAGTTTCAGACTCTGTGGGAAAGCAGACATAGGAACCCACAGATGAAGTTCCCCTCCGACTGTTTTCGTAAGCAGGAAGACCATAGTCCCAGGGCAGAGCCAAACTACTCTTGTGGGAAGCCTGACCAGCAGCTCGGCCCTCCCAGTGGGAAGAAGAAAGGGGAGAGAAGAGAGCTTCCCCTGAAGCCAGCAGGCATCTACTGGGTAGGCAGTGCTGAGCAGCAAATCAACAGACCAGGTGAACTCGGTCTTGAAGTTGGAAAGGTGTTCTCATTACCTGGTTCTGATGCTCCAAGGAAGGAGAAGTTCAGCCTCCTGAAGAACTTTAGTTTCCCAGAGGATGGTCAGAAACTAAAAAGGAAACAGGCACCATCTAAAGCAGACTGCAAGGCAGAAAAGAAGGAGCACGGGTGGGAAAGGATCAGACCCACGGAAGAAAACATGATTAGGGAAAAATAAGAGGCTGCCCAGGAAGCTTCCAATCCCAGCAGGGGAGGAATTGATCCCGAAGGAAATGAGGGATGAAGGAGATGGGATACGACAGAGGGATCCTCTCTGCTCCACATTCGCTGCTTCTCAGATCAGGGGCTGCCCAGATGTTATGAACATTTCACCCTGTCCCCATGGGTGCTGTGAAACCCTGCGCAGAGTGACCAACTAGAAGGAGGACTCCAACGTCATTATGTAAGTCAACAGAACAGAGGTCCTCACCAATTTGCTTTTTCCAGTGCCTAACAGAAGTCTGTCCACACGGGCAGAGGACAACAAGCTGCCCAATTTGGAAATTGATAATGGTCCCAAGGTGAATGAAGAGCAAGCCGCCAGGAAGCCAGGGTGGCCCGATGGCTTCTAGGTAGGGAGAGAGTCTCCAAAGGGGTTGGTGGCCGGCCGGGAGAGTCAGAAAGAGGTGGCTCTCTTTGCCCCCAGCTTGAGTGGGTGGCGGAAGGCCCCAGTTGTTTTGTGACTAATTGGCACCACTAACAAAGCAGGAACTATCACAGATGGAGCTGGAGTCGCATTTTTGGTAGATAATGATTTATCCTTAGAGAAAATACAGCAACTCACTGTAAAAATAAAACTGCTTGCATTTAAGCCACAAATAGGTTGGCTATTTCTGTGCTTGGTTTGTCTTTGTGAGTAATCATTCTCCCCTTCAGAGGTGGGCAGAGTTTGAGGGGAAGGAGGTGTAGCAAGAGCGGGTAACAAAGCAACTGAACCTGGGGAAGAGGAGGGTCTGGAGCTCCAATTTCCGGCGGAAGTTCTAGCATCCACCTCCAAGTCACACCTTCCAAAGTTCCCTAGAGAAACAACATCCCTCTTTCTGCCATCAAACAACAGAGAACCATAATGAAGGGGGCCTGGTGGAGGGCCTTATGGGAGCAGGGAAGAAGGAAGCTTATTTACCCACGGCCACGCAGCAGACCCATAAGTGGCAGTACGCACAAGTGGTAGGTCCGTTTAAGTAGGGTACAGTGGTAGAATCCCTACGTAGACCATAAGTGGGAGAGCCCGTAGGCACCCCAGTAAGTGGCAGAATTCCTTTCTTCCATCAGTGCTTTACCCTAAAGCTCCAAACCCTCTCCGTGCCTCTTCACTCAGCGCTAAACCCAAGGAAGTCTAGAGAATTCAAGTCACATCCTAAGATGTGCTCCTTATCTGGAAGGAACTCTTCTACGCCCTCGACGCTGAGCCTATATTCTGGGGAGATAACCATTAAGTGCCTCACAAAAGCCCAGCACTCCCCTCCGTGTTAGAAAGATGGAGAGTCAGGAGGGCAGGGGGCTGGGCTGCACCGACGGAGGGAACGGTCAGTGCCTGAGTGCTCACTTTCACAGAAGACGGTTCCAGAATAAGAAGTGGAAACACACGGAAGGTCCACAGAATGGCAGGCAACTGGCTTAGGACACATTGTCTCGGTTCACCATTCAGGAGCAGAACAACTTCAGGTATGCTAGAAATTTAGACTTGCAAACTTGACCGGAGGGACGAGTGATTATCCCATCTGTTTGACTGACAGTCTCAGAGTGGAACTGGTCTGCCCTCTGCCCTCTGGAGCTGCAAAAGAGGCTTCAGACCTCATTGACCAGATAAAAGCCCAAGATAAAACCCTGAGAACAGAACTCTCCCAGGCTGATCGGATCCCCATCAGCCTCAGGGAATCTTCTCCAGGCTTCTGCTAGCCAACCCTGCCCTGGAATTGGTTGGGTCTGTCCCCAGTAATAATCTTTACGCTCAGCATACATTTCTTAAACATCAGATCTGAAAGAGAAATGACATTTTCTCCCCGACGTGCTCGGTTTCTTCCAGCTAGTCAGGTCCACATGGGGGAGCATAGTGAGAGTACTACAAAGGGCAGAAACTATATAGCTATGAAAACGGGGAAGCAAACCCACCAGACACAGTGCAAGTAGTCCTCCAAGATGCACCCTGGGAAGGGCCCAAACAGAGCACAGCTGCAGATAAGAATTCAGCATGTGGGAGGCTTTGCTTCCAGCCCCCAGGGCCCCCCCAGCCTCCCCTCAATCATAGGAATCTGCCCAAAAGGAGACTTCTCATCTGGCACAAGTGCCTTTGCGGAGCAGTGAGGAGGATGTGAAGTGACCAGAGTCGGGCATCCCTAATCCAGGATAGCTCTTCCACTGAGGGGCGGGGCGAGGCTCAGGGAGCTGCTTCCCTCCTGCGGGAGAGCCTGGGATGGTGTCCGCTGCCCCAGAGATCATCGCAGTGGACAAACTAGACCTCACTAGTTCCAAAAGGAGAACTCCCAACTAATATAGCTCATATAAATAAGAAAATAAATAAATGCCTCTCTGAGTCCCCCAGAATCACCAGATATCATATCTACAGGGCTGGCTAAAGTTTGCAGCAGGAGAAAATAATTAGAAAATAAACCGAGCATGCTGTGAGGCAGCCCGGGCCAACATAATAAAGATGGGGAGAAGGCAGGGGTGGCACCGGGTGCCAGGGCAGGGTGGGGAAGGAGGGAAGAGGAGAGGAGCACACTCCATCCCCGGGGGGAGATCGGGGTCTGCCTGAAGAGGCTCACACGCTCTGACGATTTGGGAAAATACCTTTACCCCAACTAATTTTCCTCCCTTCCTCTCCCCTCTTTCCCTGGGAATCTTTGTTAAAAGGGCCCCTGAGGAAAACCAGTGCCAGAGCCCTTTGCTCAGGACGGATGATCTTGCTCACAGGGACATCCCTAGAGAAAGTTCGCATTGAGTCACAGGTGAAAATGTACGAGCACTTCGTGGATGACTCGCTCGATCCGACGTGAGAGCTCATCTCCGCTTCAGGTGTGTGTACTCCTGTCCGTCCCTCCTCCAGTTCAGCACCATCTGGGTTAATAGAGCTATACAGGAAGTCCTCAAAATTCCTTTTTTTTTTTTTTTTTTTTTTTTTGCCCCCAGGAGTCACAAGGACATTTCTTAAGTGCTTAATATTTTATCCCCATTTTACAGATGAGGAAAGTGAGGCTTGCAGAGTTTAAGTAACTTGCCCTATCTCCCTTGTCAGAGCAAGGAGAGAGCGACACCAGAGTGCACCATCCCCACCTATACCTAGGACGTAAAAGCTGTAAAGTATAAACTCATTTTCATTCTCCTCTTCTTTTTTTAATCTCACTTTTCTCTTTTTTCTAAATCCAGAACACCATACTAGAAAGTTTTTTCTTGAAAAACTTTGGAAATAATTGTGGAGTGGGAGATGTTCAAAAGTATGTGCTCATAATAAATTCACAGCAAAAGGGACTTCATGACATTCACGGCACTCACAGCTCAATATGAGAATAAATGACTGGTGGTGCACACCCATAGATACTTTACGGTATCTCTGATTTGGGAAGCAGGATAGATGTCTGAAGCCTTGTAGTTTATTAAAGGAGGATTTCAAGTTAAAGTATGATACTCCGCTTGACTTCAAGATTTATTACTAAGCTACAGTAATTAAGACAGTGTAGGCAGGGCGCAGTGGCTCATGCCTATAATCCCAGCATTTTGGGAGGCCAAGGCAGGCTGGTGTTGGTAAAAGAATAGGCAAATAGATTAATGAAATAGAATAGTGAGTACAGTTATGACACACACATATGAGAAGATGACTTTCAAAAAGGGTGACAAAACAATTCAATGAGGAAAGCCAAGTCTTTATAGAGCAGATGAATATTCACAGCGAAATAAGTGAACCTCAGCTGCTACCTCACACTGTACATAAGAGTGACATTGAGAGGGATCACAGATGTGAGTATAAAAGCTAAATCACAAAGTTTCTAGAGTGAGCAAGAGAGTATCTTCCTGATATTGAGATAGGCAAAGATTTCTTAGGATACAGAAAGCACGAACTGTAAAAAAATTGATTAAATGGGCTTTATTAAAATTAAAAATGCCTGTTCATCAAAGACAAAATTTCTAGGCAAGCCACAATCTTGGAGAAAATTCTTGCAAAACATATATCGGACAAAGGACTTGTATCAAGAATATAGAAAGACTTCCTACAACTTAAAAAAGACAATACAGTTTTTTTTTGAAATGGACAAAAGTCTTCAACAAATACTTTATAAGTGAAGATACGTAAATGGCCAAGAAGCTCATGAAAAAGTATTCAATATCGGCTGGGCGCAGTGGCTCATGCCTATAATCCCATACTGTGGGAGGTCGAGGTGGGCAGATCACCAGGTCAGGAGATCAAGACCATTGTGGCTAACACGGTGAAACCCCGTCTCTACTAAAAATACAAAAATTAGCCAGGCGTGGTGGCGGGCACCTGTAATCTCAGCTACTCAGAAGGCAGAGGTAGCAGAATCGTTTGAACCCGGGAGGTGGAGCTTGCAGTGAGCCAAGATAGCACCACTGCAGTCCAGCCTGGGCGAAAGAGTGAGACTCCGTCTCAAAAAAAAATAAAAAAATAAAAATAAGTATTCGATATCATTAATCATCAGAGGAAGGTAAATTAAAACTGTAATGAGATACCTTTTCATACTTACCAAAGTGTGGGTACAAAGGTTGTTCACACCAAATGTTGGTGAAAATGTAGACTGATTAGAACTCTAACATAGCTCTGGAGGGAGTATAAATAGCACAGCCACTTCAGGAAACCGTGGAAGTTTCCTAAACATTAAACATGCATCTACCCTATGACCCAGAAATTTCACTCTTAGGTATTTATCCATCAGAAGTTAAAGCCTATAGCCACAAAAAGCCTTGTGTAAGAATGCTCATGGCAATTTTATTTACAAAAATAAAAATTAGGGCTGGGCGCAGTGGCTCATGCCCATAATTTCAGCACTTTAGGAGGCCAAGGTGGCTGGATCATCTGAGGTCAGGAGTTGGAGACTAGCCTGGCCAAAATGGCAAAACCCATCTCTACTAAAAATACAAAAGCTGGCCAGTCATGGTGGCGTGCGCCTGTAATCCCAGCTACTCAGGAGGCTGAGAAATGAGAATCACTTGAACCGGGGAGGGAGAGGTTGCAGTGAGCTGAGATTGTACCACTGCACTCCAGCCTGGGTGACAGATCGAGACTCTGTCTCAAAAATAAAAATAATAATAATAATAATAATGATAAAATAAAATAAATAAATAAATAATAAAAATTAGACACAGCCCAGATATCCATCAGCTGGAAGCTGGATCAACAAAGTGAAGATCATTCATACCATAGAACAATGGAATATTATTTGCCAACAGAAGGGAGCAACCCACAGATACAGTTGCATACAACAACATGGGTAAGTCTCCGAAGCATAAGGCTGAGTGACAGGAGCCGGACACTAAAGAGTACGTATATATTATCTGAATCCATACGCATATATGAAGTTCTGGAAGGGGCAAACTTGTCTATGGTGATGGAAATCTGATCGTTTTTTACTAGAAGTGGCAGATTGACTAGGAAGGGGCACCAGAGAACTTTCTGAGGTGAAGATAACATCCTATATCTTGGAGGTATGGCCGATGTAGATGTATGCATTTATCAAAACTCACCAAACTCAATAACTAAGATTTGTGCATTTCACTATATGTAAATTTCATACCTCAATAAAAGTATTTCTTAATTTAAAACAAGTATTATAGCTGAGCTTAGTCATTGAAATCTTCACACTTTGTTTTCCCTTAGTGGCTAAGGAAAGTGATTTGTTACAAAACCACAAAATACACATAGACACACGCATACAGAAGCATATACTTATATAATGTCAAACTGAAATGCCTTCTTTGCAAACTATGAAAGGAAATGGAATTCTGAATTCATTTTTTAATAATTTCAAATTATGTGCTAAAGTTACATGTTGTTTTATGGCCCCCATTTCTTCTCCGCCACTGCCTCACACCAAAATTATTACTAAAGCAGCTTACATTGTTTGCTGCTAGTCTTTTGGGGAGTAAGGATAGGTTTAAAAATGAATTACAAGTAAAGGGTTTTGATACCAGCCTAAAGCATCATAGCATTATGGTACCTTTTTTTTTTTTTTTTTTTTTTTTGATACGGAGTCTTGCTCTGTTGCCCAGGCTGGAGAGCAGTGGCGTGACCTCAGCTCACTGCAACCTCCGCCTCCTGAGTTCAAGCGATTCTCCTGCCTCAGCCTCAGCCTCCTGAGTATCTGGGACTACAGGCATGCACCACCACACCCAGCTAATTTTTGTATTTTTTGTAGAGACAGGGTTTCACCATATTGGCCAGGCTGGTCTCGAACTCCTGGCCTCAGGTGATCTGCCAACCTCAGCCTTCCAAAGTGCTCGGATTACAGGTGTGAGCCATCACGCCCGGCCACATTACAGTACTTTAAACCAACTAGACCCACCATGCTTTCCAAAACTGGTCCTGGATTCTGCTGGCCACTTTATATTTCCACTAAGGAGTGGCTCAAGATCCAGGTTAATAGGGATGAACATGTTGAATATATAGAGAGCCCATGCAAATTGATAAGAAAAAGACAGTAAGACTCCAAATAGAAAAATGGTCAAAGCACATGGAAAATAACCAACCTCATTATTAGCTAAAGAAATGCACACTTAAAAAATATGTTTCCCTTTTTCACCCACTGGGTTGGCAAACACTTAAAAATTAAAATATTCAGTGCTGGTAAGGGTGCTAAGAGGCAGGCATTCATACATGTTGCTACTACAGATATTACTAACACTAGCTGGTATGCAAGGTGAAAGAATTCCCGGGGCCTTCCTGGGCCATAGTCAGGTGGCCATCCATGCAGACATGAGCATTGGGATGGTGATGCGATTTTTAAAATAAATGAAATGTTTTCTTGTCCTCTGAATCGGCACGTAATCTGCTATACAGACACTTTGCCTTCTAATTCCTTACCTAGATTATAATCCTGTGCTCTTTCTTACCCAAACATCTTGAAAAAAAAATCCAGTTGTGAGAAAGAGTATTTTTGGAGTATTGCCTTGGATCATGGAATCTATCCACTCCTCTAGCTGTTCTAAATATTACCCCGGGTTTAGCCCTGCATACTTGGCCCTTCATGGAACTGTACCATCTCAATTATCCTTTGGAGATATTCATCAGCTAGCATTTCAGGGCTCTACAAAAGAGACACACAAAAAGATCAAAATTGTGCTCATGAAGGTTGGCTAACACCCTTCCCACTATACCTACAAAGTTTCCTTTTTGAGATTTCTACATCTGGAGTAGCTGAGTTTCTTCTGAGCAGCAGCCAATCTGTTTGTATTGATAGAAAACTATAAATTGGGTAGGTGGAATGTTTGTTTCTCTTTTCCTGCTAAGAAGCCTGAAGATATGTATTTGACCTGTCTTTGCAAAGGTACCATATGGCTACCTAAAAGAAAAATACTCAAAATTATTTAGTCAGAGGTCAAATCTGGGCACCATAAATTTGTATCATCCTTTTTCTGTCAGTAACTATAGATTTTGGCAATGTTTTTTCACCAATAATATCCTCAAGGATACTGAAAAAAAAGTCACCTCTAAACGATAATAACTTGTATATTGGGAATACTACAAATAGCTAACAAAATAGCAGTGACTCTGAATTCCTGAAGAAAGGAGCCCTCTAAATTCTCAATAGCACTTGCTAAATTCTTCTTTTTTTTTTTTTTTTTTTTTTTTTTGAGACAAGAGTCTTGCTCTGTCGCCCAGGCTGGAGTGCAGTGGCGCGATCTCGGCTCACTGCCAGCAGTTGCTAAATTCTATTAGAGTTACTTTATTATGTGTCTGTTTACCTGATTAAAAATAGCTCTTTGAGGCAAGAGTCATGCCTAACTCATCTAGTATTGGCTGAGCCTAACAGTAAGTTGAATAAATCAATTATGTTTAGAATCGTTACCACAATTTTAAATGCTGGTTATCATTATTTCTTGAATGTTAGTCTAGTTCCTTCAGTTAGACTGTATGTAAGTCATATGGGAAATGAACGACATCAATCCTTCCTTGTGTGCCTGAGAACACAGTAGGGGCTGAACACTGTTCTGTGTTGTTGTTGTTGTTGTTGTTGTTGTTGTTGTTTGGAGACAGGGTCTAACTCTGTCGCCTATGCTGGAGTGCAGTGGCATGAACACGGCTCACCAAAGCCTCGATTTCCTGGGCTCAGGTGATCCTCCCACCTCAGCCTCCTGAGTAGCTGGGACGACAAGCATGCCACCATGCCTGGCTAATATGTACATATATATATATATATATATGTATGTATGTATATATTTTTTTTATAGAGACGGGGTCTCACTATGTTGCCCAGGCTGGTCTCAAGCAATCTTCCTACCTCAATCTCCCAAAGTGGTGGGATTACACGGTGAGCCACCATGCCTGCCACGGCTAAGTGATTTAACAAACATCTGTAACTGAGTAAATTGACTAGAGCCCTTCGCTGACATTTTGCTGAAGCAATCTGTCTCTGTTGATCATAACTAGCATTTAGCAAACCTTTTCCTGAATATAGCATGGTAGAATACTAATAACTTACATACGTTTAGAGGATGCTTGGGACATCTTTGTCATTACTGCTTGTCATATTTGAGAGAGTAAGGACTTGCTAACTTGTTTTTGTAAAGCCAGGATACCTTATCACGGTATTCTGTGCATCATAAAATGTACTTACTAAATGATTTTGGTGGCAGATTACAAAGGTAAAAATGTATCCAACTAGCCTTGCTTCATGTATCTGAAAACAGCCTGCACATCACCCACATTCCACACCATCTGCTGGGCTCATTATTGGTAAGTCAGTGCCCATACATTGCTCTAATGAGGTGCACTCGGCATCTGCAATGAGGAAAATCACAGCTTAATGATTTCTGGCAACTGTTAGCTACTTAAGAGCTATTCAAATACCCAATGTTTAATAATAAAAATTACAGGCGCCACGTACGGGGACTTATGCTTGTTCTCCCAGGGACTCAAGAGGCTGAGGTGGGAGGATCACTTAAGCCCAGGAGGTCAAGGTTGCAGTGAGCCACGATTCTACCACTGCACTCCAGCCTGGGTGACAGAGAGAGATGCTGTTTCTAAAATTTAAAAAAAATTATAGTAGACTAAAACAAAAATGTGTCCAGCCCACACAATACAGCAAAATAAATAAAATAGACCTTCTTAATTTTGTCCCAACTTTAAGCATTGCTCAGGGGAAAGAGGAAAATACAGTCACCTTCCCACGGCTCAGGCTCACCCACACAGTGTGTGGTCTCCGCACAGAAGACCTGTTCCTCCCATGCTTCTCTTTCTTCATTTCCACAGACCTACCGCCACAGAAAGGGAACACAAGAGGACCAGCATGGGGCAAGCTCATCATACTCGCGTTCTTATGAGAATGTGCTAGAGAAGCAGCCTGTACGATTGGCCAAAATGAGACTAAGGGATTTTCTGTGTTCTCCACCGTGCTCTGCTGATAAGGAACATTAACGGTTGATTGTGGGCATCTAGAAGCCACTTCAGGCCACGAACTCTGAGCCAGAAGACACCAGCCCTTATATGGCCTGATGTGGTCTGGATCCATGTCCCCGCCCTAATCTCCTGGCTAATTGTAATCCCCAATGTTGGAAGTGGGGCCCGGTGGGAGGCGATTAGCTCACAGGGGCGGTTTCTCATGGTTTAACACCATCCCCCTTGGTTCTGTCATCACAACAGTGAGTTCTTCATCACACACCGGGGACTGTTGTGGGGTGGGGGGAGGGGGGAGGGATAGCAGTAGGAGATATACCTAATGCTAAATGATGAGTTAATGGGTGCAGCACACCAACATGGCACATGTATACATATGTAACAAGCCTACACGTTGTGCACATGTACCCTAAAACTTAAAGTATAATAATAATAATAATAATAATAATAATAATAATAAAAAAACAGTGAGTTCTTGTGAGATCCCATTGTCTAAACATGTGTAGTACCTTCCCCACCACTCTCTTCCTCCTGCTCTGGCCATGTGAGACACCTGCTCCCCATTTGCCTTCTGCCATGACTGTAAGTTTCCTGAGGCCTCCCCGGAAGCTGATGCTGCCATGCTTCCTGTACAGCCTGCAGAACCATGAGCCAATTAAACCTCTTTTCTTGCAAATTACCCATTCTCAGACATTTCTTTTTTTTTTTTTTTTTTTTTTTTTGAGACGGATTCTCGCTCTGTTGCCCAGGCTGGAGCGCAGTGGCGCGATCTCAGCTCACTACAAGCTCCGCCTCCTGGGTTCACGCCATTCTCCTGCCTCAGCCTCCCAAGTAGCTGGGACTACAGGCGCCCACCACCACACCTGGCTAATTTTTTGTATTTTTAGTAGAGACAAGGTTTCACCGTGTTAGCCAGGATGGTCTTGATCTCCTGACCTCGTGATCCACCCACCTTGGCCTCCCAAAATGCTGAGTTTACAGGCGTGAGCTACCGCGCACAGCCCAGACATTTCTTTATAGTGGTGTGAGAACAGACTAATACCTGGCCTCTCTTCCATAGTGAAGTGGAGGTGAGGGTTGGGTTCCTAAGTGCTGACAGGAAAGGAGTGGATAATGGGGATAATGGGAAAAGCAGAAGACTCCTATGCACAGGGCAAAAAATGAGTGGCCCCATGGAAGTATATCTTCGCCATCAGGGAATCCCCGGAATCCCTGGGGAGAGGTCAGAGTCAGAGGGCACAGACTTGTTGACATAGGTGAAGCCACACTAACCCAGATTCATAGCACAATTCATCCAAGTTACATGCAAATCCCTTAAATAGTTCTGATGCCCTGGGATTGTAAAAGGCATAAGCTGAGCTGAATATTCTAGAAAGCTCTAGAATAGGATAGTTCTAAGATTGGAGACCTTTCCCAAGCGATTCCACAGGCATAAACCCTGCAACGCTGTGTGCTTCTGCCCTGGGCGTGCAGTCCCGACAGGATACCATGCCAGCACACTCTCTGCTTCCCGGGGGAGGTGGGCCCTCCCTGGCAGCTGCTTTACCAGAGGCCAACCTTGAGGTTCTCTCTTCATTGGCACAACAAGGAGCCTTGGAGCCAGAAGGACCGACTGACTGCCTTTACCAGGAGGTGGGGCTTTAAACACCACACTCAGGAAATGGACTTGCTCATTCTTGTTATACCCCAAGATGCAGCAAGGTTGTACGTTCCCCATGTCCACCTCCGACAGGACCTTCACACCTTGAGTTGCTGTGAAGGAGGCTCATCCACACTTGCACAGTGATTCTTGGTGGAGCTGGGGGGAGATCAGCCCACCTAACACCACACGTGGCACTGTGTGTCCAAACAGCAATCCACTTCTCCGCTGTTGACCTTGAGCAAGTTACTTCCCTTTGCAAAGCCTCAGCTTCTTTGTCTGTAAAATGGGGACAATGACGTATCCACCTAATAAAGGCTGTTGGGATAATTAAATGGGATGATGCAAGAAGGACTCCTAGTAAGTGTGGATAAATCTTAGCCATAATTGCATTGTTGGTTCTACAGCTATCGTGGGACATACCAGTGTGGCCCATAGGATATGTAATTTGAAATTCTATCTATATCTTCAATAAGTCAGTCAGTTGTTCTCATAATACAAACTAAAGAATAGGACTCAATAAAGTCACCTTGGTGGCATGGGATGGAGAAAATGGAGGGTGAGACATTGTAGTTGTGTGGTGCTCGCTGTGCAGTACGTTGCTCTACCAGATCACCTAGGGCTGTGGCAAAAGGGCCCCACGCCCTGGGTGGTTTAAACAGCAGAAATGTATGCTCTCATTGTTCTGGAGGCTGGAAATCCTAAATCCAGGTGTCACCAGAACGTTGGTCCTTCTGAGACTAGGTGGAGCCCTTCCTTGCTTCTTCCCAGTTTCTGGGGTGGCTGGCTGTCCATCCTTGGCACTCTTTGGCTTGCACAGTCTCTGCCTTTGTGGTCATGTCATTGTCATCACATGACCATCTTCTTATAAGGACATCGGTCACACTGGATTCATTCAATATGAGTTCATTCTACTCCAGTATGACCTCATCTTAACTAATTGCACCTGCAACAACTTCCAAATAAAGCCACATTCTGTGGTACTGGAGGTTGGGACTTCAGCGTATCTTTTTAGGGGACACAGTTCAACCTGTAACAGGTGCCTTACAAAGCTGAATTGTGTTGGCCTGCTGCACACTGGGATGGCATTGGAACATGTTCTTGAGACCGTGCTTAGGCAGCTCTGGGGAATGAGCCCCAGGCAATAGTGGGTGTCCTGTGAGCCCCGAGTGGTCTCCCTGACCACCAGTACCCTCCCAGACCCCAAACCAGCCCACTGCTGGCATGTGTCCAAGGCAACCAGAAGCATTCCAACATTATTCAAAAATCTCTCATGTATGTTGAGGGATGGTGACTGGGGGAAGAAATGATTTGCAAAGAAAGAAAAGAAACAGTTCTCTGTTGTCATCCTTTTAAAAATGTCTGCTCCTGTTATTTTGAGTAAGGTGGTGGTTATACAGGTATCTACTTATATCAGCAGTCATTGACCTGTACCCTTAAAGTCTGTTAATATTTCTGTATACACATTTTATATCCATAAAAAAAGTCCAGAAAAGAGTAAGAGAGTGGAAAACTTAGGTATAACATTATTAGTCTCTAAGTGTTTTTAGTGGATAGCTTTGCTAGATCAAAAACGTGTAATCAGTATATCAATGGAGGGTGGGAGGGGGTGAGCGTTGAAAAATTACCTATTGGGTACAATGTTCACTGATTGGGTGATAGGTATACTACAAGCCTAAACCTCACCATTATGCAATATATCTATGTAACCAACCTGCACATGTATCCCCTGAATCTAAAATTTTAAAAAATTAATAATTTTAAAAGCATATACATTGAATAATAACAGAGCTGCTCTATTTTGTGCCCCTCCAGCAGGAATCAGGGTTTTCCCTGTGTGCCTCATTAGTCCAAAGATGTGCAAGTTTCCTGCTGTGTTCTAGAGGATCCTGCAGTAGAGGGTTGTCCACTCCACAAGGTGGACGTTAGAGCTGGGTGGGGTCTGAGGCACAGGGGAGTGCCTCACTGCACTGTAGACAACAAGTTGACCTTAGAGACAATCAGTAGGATGAGGGATGGCTGGAGGCTGAGTCTTGCTGGCCAGCCTGTAATTCTTTGAAGGGTGGAAGGACAACCAGAGTACATGCCCCACCCAGCTCTCATCCACACGGTCTTCTCCTTCTCCCAGCCTGTGGTTATTTATCGAGTCACTGTCAGTGGAAAAAATTGGTCTGGAAATATGCAGCTGATCTTTCCATTCTGGGTGAATTGCAGCCTCATTTTCCCCTGTGACTGCAGTGGATGATTATATTGAGCAGTGCAGGCTGGGGCAGGGGAGAGCCTTCGGGGTCCAATGGTGAGAAGATAGAATAACTTGGAAAATCTTTGCGTTCTCACAAAGACTTTCATTCTTCCAGGTTTCCCTCGACTAGAGAGGTGCTAGGACTCTGTCCTCAATCTGTTCCTCCAGAATGGTTTGTTCCCCACTCCCCTTACCAGTCAGCAATGGGCTGTTTGTGTGACACTGTCCACTTGTCTCCCTAGTGACACACAGCAAAGCCACAGAGCAGAATGGATTTCTTGCTTTGCCCAACGTGGAGTTGCTTCTCCTGCCCCTGTGCCTGCCCCTGTGCTGAAGGCCTCAGCCTTGCCACTTAGCCACACATGCTCTGATGCAAGGGTTGGACCCACCTAGCCGAGGTTTCTCCTCCAAGATAGGCCACTGCCCCATCCCCAACTTAGATCCTCTGAGGGGGTATTTTAGTTTATTTTGTGTTGCTATAAAAGAACACTTGAGACTGGGTAATGTATTAAAAAAATACGTTTAGCTCACAATTTTGCAGGGTGAGAAGTTCAAGGGCATGGCCCTGGCTTCCAGTGAGGACTATCACAACTGCATCATAACGTGGTGGAGAATATCAAAGGGGCAGTGGACACGTTTGAAGAGGAGAAAGTCCCAGGGGAATGCTGGCTCTATTAACAATCCTCTCTCAAAGGAACTAATCTATTCCCAAGAGAACTCATCTAGTCTCCCCGGGGCGAGCACTCACTGATTTCCTTGAGAATAGCACCAACCTATGCATGAGAGATCCGCACCAGTAACCAAACACCTCTCACTAGGCCCCACCGCCCAACACTGCCACATTAGAGATCAAATTTCAACATGAGTTCTGACAGAAACAAACAAACCACATCCAACCCATAGCAGAGGGGTAGTGGCCCTGACCTTTCTGGAGAAGTGGCAGGACCTTCTGTCTGGCCAACCCTGTGTACACAGGGAAAGCTCACCAGTGGGCAGATGTTTCCTGTGGGTTACCCTATCTTGTCCTATTTCATTCTCCTCCCCTACTTTATGCCTGGATGTATTCACATGCTAGGGCTGTCAGAACAAAGTGCCACAGATTGGGAGGCTGAAGTAGTAGAAACGACAATTCCAGAGGCTGGAAGTCCAAGATCAAGGTGCTGGCAGAGCGGCCTCTCTCCTTGGCTTGCAGATGGCCATTTTCTCCCTGTATCATCACATGATCTTTTCTCCATATGTATATGACTCTGTCCTAATTTCCTCTTCTTATAAAGACCCTCAGCCATACTGGATTAGGGCCCACCCTAACCACCTCATTTTAACTTAATCACCTCTTTAAAGGCCGTATCTGCAAATATAGTCACATTCTGAGGTACCAGATGTTAGGGCTTCAGCATAGGAATTGGGGTGCAGTCAGACACCATTCAGCCATAACAGTGGGTAAGGTTCTAAACAGTTGTAGCACAAGACACAAAGAGGCTTCAGCAGTTGACCATTTTGCTTCCTGTCCTGCAGCCCCTGGTTCCTAGCAACACTCTGTCTGCCAAAAGCTCCCACATCCTTACCCTGGCAGCCGGCCACGGCTTGATCCAGTCTGAGCTGTTCCAAGATGTGTTGGTGGCTGCTTGTTACAGTTCCTGTGTTTTGTTCCTGAAATTAGTTGCACACTGAATTAGGTCTCCAGTGTCTCAACTCCTTCCAGAGGCAGATGGGCAGCCTAGGTCTCCCCTCCAGTTCCCCAGCATAAGGAGGAAGTCTTCTGGCCTCACTCCTAGAGACATATGGACATCCTAATGCCCAGCATCTTTAGACAGTTCAGTTACATCTCTCCAGCTGAGGCCTCCAGTTGAGAGAGTGACTGATAGACAGTTCTGGATTTCTGTCCTTCTCAGAGCTGAGGTATGTCCTGTGTATATTACCCACTATGGGATGGTTCTAGCCAGGAGCCCCCATGCTGAAATGTTGGAAATCCAGAGGTGGGCTCTGCCTTCTGTTCCGGGGTGGACTCCACTTGTGTGCTGAGGGTGGTCTGGCAGGCACACCAATGCGCTCCCAAGGCTCACACTCTCAAGGTCCAAAGACATGCTGTTGAGGAACATTAACACCCATGGCTTGCTGCTTTTGAAGAGTCCATAGCTAAGATGTCCCTGACATCAGTCACCTTCATCTGGATACAGACGGCCCAAGGCTCTCAAATAGAATTGCCATATTCTGTCAACTGGGGCCCAAAAAGTACCCTCCCCAGAAGTCCATTGTTTAATGGAATCGTTGTTTAATGCCTTTAGAACCAGTGAACATGTCTCAAGAGGAAAGATCGGTTGTTTGCCACTAGTCTGGGACATGACTTTGAAGTACTCAGGACAACACCTCATTTTCTTCTAGTTCCACAGTAAAAGTATGAGGCCCTTGGGAATGAAAGATTTGTTCCTGTTTATAACTCACTCAGCTCAGGGCCACCCGACTGCCTCTTCGTCCGTTCCCTCCCTCAACTGCAGTGGCATGGAGCTGCCTGCCTGGTGCCATGGAGTTTGCTACTTTGAGAGCGGGGGCCATGAATCTCTAGCCAGACCATGAATATCTCCTGACCTCGAGTCTAGATTTCCTCAAGCCCTTCCTGGGGAAGACTTTCAGGGATCCATGTATGGGATCTGCAGGAAGGGGTGTCCACATCTTCGCTGCTGCAGCTTGGTCCATGATGAACCCCGAGGTCATGGTTACGGACACCCACCTGGGACCTCAGCACCTGTGTTGGCTCCAGTGAGGGGTTACCCGAAGAGAACATTGTCAGACCTTACCACAGAGATGACTCCATACCATATGCCTGAAGCCAGTTTATAAGGGCCAATCTGAGGACTAGGAAATTTAATTTGACGTGGGGCTCAAGTCTCACTTTCAGACTCTGACACACAAAACTTTCTCTGTGGAGTATCTCTCTCTCTCTCCCCCACCCCCCTCATAATTGATTTAATTTTTTGAGACAGAGTCTCATTCTGTTGCCCAGGCTGGAGTACAGTGGCACCACCTCCACTCACTGCAGGCTTGACCTCCCAGGCTCGAGTGACCTCCCACCTCAGCCTTCCAAGTAGCTAGGACTACAGGTGCACAACACCATGCCCGGCTGATTTTTGTATTTTTTATAGAGACAGAGTTTCACCATGTTGCCCAGGCTGGTCTTGAACTCCTAGGCTCAAGCAATCCACCCACCTCGGTCTCCCAAAGTGCTAGGACTACAGGTATGAGCCACCATGCCCAACCTGTAATTGATTTTACTGTGGTAAAATATATATAACATAAAATTTACCAGTTTAAGCACATTTAAATGTACAGTTCAGTGGCATTAAGTATGTTGTGCAGCTATTACCACCATCAATCTCCACAACTGTTTCATCCTCCCATACTGAAACTCCAGACCCATTAAACAATACCTCCCCATTTCCCCTCCACCCAGCCCCTGGCAACCCCCATTCTATATTCTCTTGAAGAATCTGAGCACTCTAGGGACCTCATGTAAGTGGAATCACACAGTATTTGTCCTTTTGGGTCTGGCTTATTTTACTTAGCATGATTTATCATGGTTTATCCATGATATCGATGTTTATCCATGTTATAGCATGTGTCAGAATTTCCCTCCTTTTGAAAGTTGAATGACATTTTGCTGTATGCGTAAACCACACTTTGTTTATCTGTTCATGTGTAGATGGGCACTTGGGTTGCTGGAGGGCAACTTTTTAAAGAGCGCTGCATTGGAGGACATGCTTCTAGATCACTTCCCAAATATCCTTTGTTCTATCTAGCTCTCAGGAGCCCTCTTGCAATCAATAGGCTGGTATGCTTCATCTAAAGCTAAATGGAAGGTACTTTGCAGGTACTTCTGACCCCAAACTACACATGTGACAAGCAACCTGTGTCAGTCAGGGCTCTTAAGTGCAAGCAACAGAAACAGACACCAACTAAGCTGAGTAGAAAGATGATTTATTAAAAGGATATTATCTAGCTCACAGAATCTCCAGGAAGACAAAAAAATCCAGGCTAAGTTAGAATTCCAAAAACAACTGCATGAGCTAAAATCATGCAGCATCATTAGCTGCATCAAGACACTGCTGCTACCTCCCCCAAGCCACGATGACTCAGATGCACCTCCTATTACCACTGATACCCTGCACCGACGCGCTGTTAGCACTGCTCCTGCTACCCATCTTCCTGCCATCACCACCCCCACCAGGGAGACCATTCTCTGTGGCCTGCCCCTTCTTGGCAGCAGCAGATAAGGCAAAGTCGGGACCAGAAACATCTAATTGGCTGTGCCAAGATCAAAGCCCATGGCCCACAGGAAGGGAAGCTGGGAAAGTGAGATTATAGAGGTGGAGAATTCCCCCAACATGGAAAGGGCGTTAGACTCTGGGTGGCCAAAAGGAGAGACAAAGATTCGCTTCAGGTATTAATGACCTCTGCAGCCCCATTTCAGTCCATCCCAGGTAGTAAGCATCCCAAACTATTTAATCCTGCCTTAGGCCTGATGATGTGGGGCTGCTACCTGAGCCCACACTTTACAGGCCTACAGTGGCCTCCTCAATCACGTTCCACCATAGGGTCAAAGTCTGTGGGACCCAGGCCATGTGCCTGCCTGCAGCCTATGGCCCTCCCCTTTTTGTTGCACTCTAGATATCAAAGACCCTGGTATTTTGGGCCAAACAGCTCTGAGCCTGCTTCCAGGGCCTGCACAGGCCTTGTCGCTGGGTCTGTCCCACTGAAGGTAATGCATGCTGCCAGTGGCTATACTCCTGGGCCAAGGGGTGGCCAAGTCAGGGCTGTTTTCAAAGGGTGTGCATGGAACTTGGATATGTTCCCAGGGGTAGCCACACATTTGCAAGTAAAGCTCCTCACAGAGAGGAACAGGGCCAAGCTCAGTAAGAGAAGAGGGTTGGGCTATAGGCCATGGGCATACTCTGTGGCTATGTTCTGTCAAGGAACTCCAAGGAGTCCAAGAATTCTAAACTTGAACCTGGCCTTCCAATTGTTTCAAAAGTCTATTTTTCAAAAAATGAAATACCTAGGAATAAATTTAACCAAGGAGGTGAAAGATCTCTAAAAGGAAAATTATGAAACACTGCTAAAAAAAATAAAATTGAAGAGGACACAAAAAACAGATCATTTTCATGGATTGGATTTAATATTGTAAAAACGAACACACTGCCACAACTGATCACAGATTTAATACAACTCCTATCAAAATACCAATGACATTCTTCACAGAAGCAGAAAAAGCAATCCTAAAATTTGTATGCTATCCCAAAAAACTTTGAATAGCCAAAGCACTCTTGAGCAAAAATAACAAAGCTGGAGGTATCACACTACTGGACTTCAAAATATACTACAGTAACCAAGACAGCCTGGTATTGGCATAAAAACAGACACATGAACCAATAGAACAGAATAGAGAAATCAGAAATATATCCACGTGTTTACAGCCAACCAATATTCAAGAAGAATATCAAAAATATTCATTGGAGAAAGAAGAGTCTCTTCAACAGTTGCTTCAATAAGTAAGTGCAGAAAAATAAAACTAGACTCCTTATCTCTCACCATATCCAAAAACCAACTCAAAGTGGATTAAACACTTAAATGTAAGACCCAAAACTATGAAACTACTAGAAGAAAATATATGGAAAACACTTCAGAACATTGGTCTGGAAAAGGACTTTATGGAGAAGACCTCAGAAGCATAGGCAACAAAAGCAAAATAGACAAATGGGATTATATCAAACCAAAAATCTTCTGCATAGCAAAGAAAACAGTCAACATAGTGAAGAGACAACCTGCAGAATGGGAGAAAACATTTGCAAACTATTCAACTGATAAGGGATTAATATCCAGAATATACAAGGAACTCAAAAACAACTCAACAGCAAAGCAAGACAAATAGAATGTATTTGTTTGGCTCATTAAAACAAATTAAAACATTAAAAATGAGCAAATGAGCTGAGTAGACATCTTTTAAAAGACATACAAATGATCAAAAAGTATATGAAAAATTTCTCAACATCACTGATCATCAGGGAAATCCAAAGCAAAACCACAATGAGCTATTCATCTTACTCCAGTTACAATGGCTGTCATGAAAAGATTTTCAAAATAACAAATACCAGTGAAGATGAAGAGAAAAAGACCTTTTATACATTGTTGGCAGGAATGTAAATTAGTACAGCCATTATGGAAAACAGTATTGAGGTTTCTCAAAAAACTAAAACTAGAACCACCATATGACCCAGCAATCCCACTACTGGGTATATATCCGAAAGAAAGGAAATAAGTACGTTGAAGAGATAGCTTCATTCCCATGTTTATTGTAGCACTATTCATACTAGTGAAGATATGGAATCAATCTAAGTGTCCATCAATGGATGAATAGATTTTTTAATGTGATATACTATGTACATATATTACGCATCCAAGAAAATTTTAAAAAAAGAAAATGTGGTACATATATACACAATGGAATACTATTTGGCCATAAAAAAGAACAAAAATCTGTGTCATTTGCAACAACATGAATGAGTTTGGAGGACATTATGTTAAGTGAAATAAGCCAGGCACAGAAAGATAAAACATGTTCTCATCTGTGAAAGCTAAAAAAGTTGATCTCACAGAAGTAGAGCATAGAAGAGTGGTTACTAGACACTGGGAAGGGTGGGGAGGCAAAGCCAGAGGTTAATGAAGGGATACAACTGCACAGCTAGACAGGAGGAATAAGTGCTAGTGTTCTATGGGACTATGGGGTAACTATAATTAATAATTTATTGTATATTTTCAAATAGCTAGAAGAGGAAATTTTGAATATTCCCAACACAAAGAAACAAAATATGTTTGGGGTAATAGATATGCTAACTACCCTGATTTGCTTATTACATATTGTATATGTGTACGGAAATATCACAATGTACCCCATAAATATCTACAATTATTATGTGTCAATTAAAAATAATAATAAACGGGGCCAGTTGCAGTGGCTCACACCTATAATCCCATCACTATGGGAGGCCGAGGCCGAGGCTGTGGATCACTTGAGGCCAGGAGTTTGAGACCAGCCAGGGCAACATGACGAAACCCCGTCTCTATTGAAAATACAAAAAATTAGTCGGTTGTGGTGGCACATGCCTGTAATCCCAGCTACTCGGGTGGCTGAGGCATGAGAATTGCTTGAACCTGGGAATCAGAGGTCGCAGTGAGCAGAGATTGTGCCCTCCAGCCTGGGCAACAGAGCAAGGCTCTATCTCAAAATCAGTAAATAAATAAAAAAAAATAATTATAAATGAAAAATGTATATTGGTCAAGGTAAAGAATAGAACATTTTATTTAACAGTTTAGTAGCTTGTTTTAAATTTTTTTATTGTGGTAAAATATACATAAAATGCAATTTACCATTTTAACCATTTTTAAGAGTACAATTCAGGGGCATTAAGTATAATGACAATGTTGTACAACCAACACCACTATCCATTTCCAGAACTTTTCATCATTCCTAACAGAAACTTAGTGCCCATTAAACACTAACTCCCCATTCTTCTCTCCCCGGCCCCTGGTAACCAGCATTGTATTTTCTCTCTCTATGTATTTGCCTATTCTAGGTTCCTCATGCAAGTGGAATCATATTTATTTTTCCTTTTCTATCTGGCTTATTTCACTCAGCATAACGGTTTCACGGTTCATCCATATTATAGGAATAAATTTAACCAAGGAGGTGTATCAACGTGTGTCAATGTGTCAGATCACATGTATCAATGTGTCAGAATTTCCTTCCTTTTTATGGCTGAATAATGTCCCATTGTAGCTACATACCACGTTTTGTGTATCCATTCCTCCATCATGGGCAATTGGGTCGTTTCCACCTTTCAGCTAGTGTGAATCAGGGCTGCTATGATCCCTGGTGTACAAGTATCTGTTCAAGTTCCTGCCTTCAATTCTTTTGGGTACATACCCAAAGTGTAACTAGGGAATCAAATGGGAATCTATGTTTAACTATTTGGAGAACTGTTTTCTACAGTGGCTGCACCATTTTACAATCCCACCAGCAATTCAGGAGATTTCCAATTTCTCCACATTCTCACCAACACCTGTTATTTTGTGTTTGTGGGGGTTCTTTTAAATAATAGCCATCCTAACGGATATGAAGAGCAGTGTGTGGTTTTAAATATTTAGACATGGGGGATGTGTACGCTTATGCCAGACCCCACATTGTTAGGGTTGGGCCAATTCTTATCACCATAATTGTGTCAGAGAAGTGTATTTGCTCTGTAGGGCTGCCATAAGAATTACCTCAAGCTGGGTGGCTTAAAATAACATAAATTTACTTTCATAGTTCTGGAGGCCAGCAGCCCAACACTAAGCTATCAGCAGTGCCATGGTCCCGCTGAAGTCTCTAGGGAATGGTCTTCCTCACCCCCTCCCACTTCTGGTGGCTTCCAGCATTCCTTGGCTCGTGGCAGCATCACTCCAGTCTCTGCCCCATCTCCCTGGCCTCTTTCCTCTTGTCTCTGTATGTCTTTTTCTGTCTCTTACAAGGCTCTCTCCTTGGATTTAGGGCCTGCCCTAATCCAGTATAACCTCAGCTGGAGCCTTAATCACATCTGCAAGGAGCTTATTTCCAAACAAACTCACATTCTGAGGTTCTGGGTAAACGTGAATTTTGGAGGAACAGCGGATTCCTTTCCCACCTGCTCCACTGCACAGCAGCACAGAGCCCACCTGAGCAGTGCTGAAGGGTGAGAGGTTGCTCAGGGGGCATCAGATTCATGAGGCAAGAGCAGCCCAGGGGGGTCTTTAATGTGCAGTGAAGCCGGCGGAGGTTCCTTCACTCTGGCCCCGATATGCAGAAATACGCCCGTCTTTAATTTTCTAGAGTGGAGCTATTGGCTCTCAAATTCCTATACCCACTTTGTTCGGGAAACATACTTCATCTTGGCACCTCAATGTCACTCTGTCTCTTCTGTTTGAGTAGCTCCTTTCCCGTAAGCAGGCAACTCTGGTTCTAAATTCAGTCATTTCAAGGTTCCAACTCCATGCAGGGCTGTTCTCTCTGAAATCTTTCCTCTCCTTTCCCCTTTGCAGATCAGAGGCCTGCATGCCGGGCCTGCATGCATTGCGGGGGGGCCTGCGGCATCAGGGGCAGTGGGGACCTGGTCCTCAGGGCGCTTACACAGAGGCGGCTGAACGCGCAGGACCCAGAGAGCCGGAGAAGCCTGCCAGGGGCAGGGGCAGGAAGCGTTAGGGCTGGTGAGGGGGACTGGCCTGCCTGTGGCCCAGGGAAGGCTCCAAGAGGCCACAAGGCGTCCCTGAGCCCGGGCTGGCTGTCAGCGGTGTCCCAGGAAACGGGCCGGCCCCACACCTCTGCAGCACCCTGGAGGGAGCCCCCAGGAAGCTGGGCAGAGGTGGACCCCAGGCACAGCCAGGCCCCGGGCAGCGTGGCCCCTGCAGTTGAGGTGACAGGCAGGCCTAAGGCGCCCCTGTTTCCAGGCCTTGCTCTCCCTCAGCTGTCTCTCCTGGCTTTGAGACAACCCCTGCCCCACCCGACATCTCTCCAAGACAGTCACACGAGCACTTCGTTCCCGGCCACCTCCCGAGCCCCCGCACAGTGATACAGGGGAGCTTGTGTGCATCTTCTCTGTGAATTGTGGCAGATGCAGCCTCCCAGGACGCTGTTGCAGGCTCCTGCCAACACACACTCCACCAGCCTGCGGCCACCCAGGGACTCAAGGCTCCTCAGCCCCCCCACTGGCCTTCCAGGCAGGAAGCAGAACACTGCTGCCTCACCTCCAGGCTCTGGAAGCTTCTGGGCCGACCACCCTGGAGTCTGAGCATGGGGAGGGTCTGCACCCAGTCCACCTCGGCCTCCTTTCTCCAGGGCCTACTGGCAGCACTAGCAGGCTCTGGTGATACTGTGGGATCATAAGAAATACGAGATCAGGAGTTCAAGATCAGGCTGGCCAACATGGTGAAACCCCGTCTCTACTAAAAATACAAAAATTAGCCGGGCGTGGTGTCGGGTACCTGTAATCCCAGCTATTCAGGAGGCTGAGGCAGGAGAATCGCTTGAACCCAGGAGGCAGAGGTTGAGGTGAGCCGAGATGGTACCAGTGCACTCCAGTCTGGGCGACAGAGCGAAACTCCGTCTCGGAAAAAAAAAAAAAAAAAACACGCATTGTGGTGTTGTCCCTGGCTCCCAGCCACAGCTCCTAAAACTCTTGTACTTTTCTAAGTGATAAGAATGACAGGAGCAGCTTTTGTTACAATATTTAGATTTTGTCTCCAGTTCCCGAACAGCTCTGGAGCTACAAAGGTGAAAAAGGAGCATCTCTTGTTGCTTGTAGGGAGGCTATTCTTGCTTCATGAGTTTGTGTGAGTGAAGTGACTTTTGGAAAGGCCTAAGGTTGGGGTTGATTACCAGAGAAACCAACCAGATCATGAGGAGACTGGAACTTTCAGCCCCACTCCCCAGCCTCTGAGGGGGCAATGTTGGAATCAATCGTGTCTACGTAATGAGGCCTCTGTAAAAACCCAAAAGGACGTAGTTCTCAGAGCTTCTGGGTTGATGAACACACGGAAGTGCTGGGCCTTCGTGACCCTTTCCCCTCCTTGCCCAGTGCGATTTGGCTGTTCCTAAGTTGTATTCTCCATAATAAACGGGTAAACAAAAGTAAAGTGTTTCCCTGAGTTCCGTGAGCCATTCTAGCAAACGATCGAATTCAAGGAGGGGGCTGTGGGAATCCACAGTTCATAGCCGGCCAGTCAGGAGTCAGAAGGGAGGTCCAGACCTGCGATTGGCATCTGAAGCAGGGCAGCCTTGTGGGGCTGAGCCCTCCACCTGTGAGATCTGATGCTAACTCTAGGCAGATGGTGTCAGAACTGGATTAAATCATAGGACATCCAGCTGGCATCCACAGAAAAATGGAGAATTGGTTGGTGTCAGAAAACCCTGCCTGTTTGGTGTCTGATGTGAAGTGTGTGACAGTAGAAGGAAGCACAGTTGGTTTTCCCTTTCTAGGACCTCGTCCCCTCTTCACCCCACATCCCCACAGTCTGTCTGAAAATTAACACTCCGTGCTTTCGTCCTTCAGGCCAGACATTCTGATATTTACAGCTCGGCCTCAGAAGTTCCCAGAACTCCTGTCCTTCAATGGTATCTGCAATGAACTTTTTTTTTTTGAGACGGAGTCTCACTCTGTTGCCAGGCTGGAGTGCAGTGGCATGATCTCGGCTCACTGCAACCTCTGCCTCCCGGGTTCAAGCAAGTCTCCTGCTAATTTTTGTATTTTTAGTAGAACGGGGTTTCACCATGTTGGCCAGGATGGTCTCGATCTCTTTTATTATTATTATTATTATAATACTTTAATTTCTGGGTTACATGTGCAGAACGTGCAGTTATGTTACATAGGTATACATGTGCCATGGTGGTTTTCTGCACCCATCAACCTGTCACCTACATTAGGTATTTCTCCTAATGCCATCCCTCCCCTAGCCCCCCCATTCCCCAACAGGCCCCGGTGTGTGATGTTCCCCTCCCTGTGTCCATGTGTTCTCATTGCTCAGCTCCCACTTATGAGTGAGAACATGTGGTGTTTGGTTTTCTGTCCTTGCGATAGTTTGCTGAGAATGATGGTTTCCAGCTTCATCCATGTCCTGGTCTTGATCTCTTGACCTCATGATCGGCCCGCCTTGGCCTCCCAAAGTGCTGGAATTACAGGTGTGAGCCACCGCGCCCAGCTGCAATGAACTTTTTTAAAACCCTGTGTGACGTATGTTTATAGTGGCACTATTCACAATAGCAAAGACTTGGAACCAACCTAAATGTCCAACAATGATAGACTGGATTAAGAAAATGTGGCACATATACACCATGGAATACTATGCAGCCATAAAAAATGATGAGTTCATGTCCTTTGTAGGGACATGGATGAAACTGGAAACCATCATTCTCAGCAAACTATCACAAGGACAAAAAACCAAACACCACATGTTCTCACTCATAGGTGGGAATTGAACAATGAGAACACATGGACACAGGAAAGGGAACATCACACACCAGGGACTGTTGTGGGGTGGGGGGCGGGGGGAGGGATAGCATTAGGAGATATACCTAATGCTAAATGACAAGTTAATGGGTGCAGCACACCAACATGGCACATGTATACATATGTAACAAACCTGCACGTTGTGCACATGTACCCTAAAACTTAAAGTATAATAATAATAAATTTTAAAAAAATAAAAAATAAAACCCTGTGTGAGACTCCAGCCAGGCAATTATGTCTGTCCCAGGTGGTGCAGCTTCTCAGGGGAGGGAGCCTCAGCCTCAGGGTAAAGAGCACGGTAACAAGCTCTTCTAACAAAAGCTCATCAACACGTATCTCAAAGAATAGCATCCCCAGCCAGGCACGGTGGCTCAGGCCTGTAATCCCAGCACTTTGGGAGGCTAAAATGGGAGGTTCACTTGAGCCCAAGAGTTAGAGACCAGCATTATAGTGAGACTGTGTCTCTACAAAAAAATAGAAAAAAATTAGGCAGACATGGTTGTGTGTGCCTGTAGTCCCAGCTACTCAGGAGGCTGAGGTGGGAGGATTGCTTGAGCCCAGGAAGTCGAGGCTGCAGTGAGCTGTGATCGCACCACTGCACTCCAGCCAGGGCAACAGAGCCAGACCCCGTCTCTAAATAAATAAATAAATAGCATTTCTCCCTCACATTTGGGAAAATGAAGCTCTATGTGACACGTCAGCAGGCAGAGAAGCCCCTTTAAATTCCTTGTTTTTTGGTGCCATCCAGTGGTGACTTGGATTTTTTTCCCTCAGGTAGGTTTTATCTAAAAGTTGTTCAGTAGGCTGTTCAGCGATAAATTATCAGACAAGAGTGTGTTGC
Organism: Homo sapiens; assembly: GCF_000001405.40. Lineage (NCBI taxonomy): Eukaryota > Metazoa > Chordata > Mammalia > Primates > Hominidae > Homo > Homo sapiens. Next base: position 159,863,351 of record NC_000006.12, on the reverse strand, counting down.
ATTGAAACACTCTGCATTACTCATTAAGAAAAAACTCACACCTTCAAAAATTTAACTGCTCAAGGACTTTGAGTTAAACATCGTAAACGAACCACAAACATTCATGCCCCCCAACCTGCAAAAAAAAAAAAAAGAACCACTAAGATGAAGTGAAAAGACAGAAAGGATAGGCGAGGTAATGTTGCCAGGCAAGAACTAGGAACAAAATTTGGGGAGTGAGAACAAGAGGCTATAATCAGAGATGCATGAGAAGAGCACATGAGGGTACTGTGGGCTGAAGGATCCTAAGGTAGCCTCCAATTCCCACCCCCTGGTGTACACACCTTATAGCATTCCCTCCCCTGGAGTGTGGCCCCTCATCAGTTAACTTTGAGTTGATAAAAAGGGATGTTGTCCTGGTGTGTCTAGAGGTAAGACACAGGAAGCACAGCAGATACTCTCCTTCTCCTTCTGGCCTTGAAGAAACAAACTACCCAGGTGGAGAGGACCACCTGCCAGGAAATGGGGGGCACCCCTAGGAGGTGGGAACCTCAGCCCTACAACTACAACAACCCAGGTTCTGCCAACAACCTGAATGGGTCCTGGGCCTCAGAGGAGACCCCAGCCTCAGCTAATGTCTTGATGTCAGCCTGGGGAGACCTCAACAGACAGCCCAGCGGCCCCATAACTGGACTCCAACTGGTGGAAACTGAGATAATAAATGTGTGCTGTTTTCAACTGCTGACTTTAGGGGGATTTATTAGGCCAACAACAGAAAACTCATACATGGGCCAATTCATCCTGAGACCCCTCTGAGAAGAAAACAAGGAACCAGGACCAGGAGGGACAGAACAGAGGTGGAGGCAATGTCAGACACAGAAAAGAACAAAGTGGCAAAGACGGGAAATAGAAAACAAAAGATAAAGTCATCAGAGAGCAATCCAGGGAGCTCAGCACCAAAACACTGTTCAAAGAAGAAATAAAGACAGAGGACAGGAAATTGTCAAATACATAATACCATAAATTTTCCAGGACCCCAAAGCCACAAGCCTCTAGACTCAGAATGTTCAGAGCAATGAATGAAAAAAGACCACATCAAGGCATGCCGTCAATAAATTTCAGAACATCAGGGCTAAGAAGAAGATGCTGGAGGCTTCCGCAGAGAAAAATTAGGTTACATTAAAAAGAGAAAAGGACTCATCATGGCATTGACTTTCCAATAACGATACTGAACATAAGAAAGTATTGGAACCCAAGTCGCCTTCCTGGTATATTTAGCTATAGTTATGTAGGATGTATCCACTGGGGGAAACTGGGGAGGGTATGTGGAACCTCTGTGTACTAATTTTACAACTTCCTGTTAATCTATTTCAAAATAGAAGTATTTTTTAAAGCAAGCATTGGAGCAATGATACCAGAATCCTAAGGAAAAAAATATTTTCAACCTAAAATTCTATACCCATGTCTATCCATGAGGATGTTTCAGCTGCAAATAAGAGCAGCCACCATTTGAACAGGGTTTTAAAAATAAGTTATATTTTCTTGCTATATAAATAAGCACAAAGACAGACCAGGTCTAGGAGTGGCTGGGCCAGGTTCTCTCCTTCTTTCTGTTTTGGCATCTTTAGGGTCAGGCTAACTCTGAGATGGGTCCTGAGGTGAGAGGTGCAGTTCCAGCATCTCATCCAGACCTGATGATGCCCAGAAAAGAAACATGTCTGAGTGTCTCTCTTTTAGAATAAAGTACATTTCAGGCTGGGTGCAGTGGCTCACACCTGTAATCCCAGGACTTTGGGAGGCTGAGGCGGGCAGATCACTTGAGGTCAAGAGTTCGAGACCAGCCTGGCCAACATGGTGAAACCCCATCTCTACTAAAAATACAAAAATTAGCCAGGTGTTTTGGCTGACGCCTGTAATCTCAGCTACTTGGGAGGCTGAGGCAGGAGAATCGCTTGAACCCGGGAGGTGGAGGTTGCAGTGAGCTGAGATCACACCACTGCACTCCAGCCTGGGCGACGGAACGAGACTCCGTCTCAAAACAAAAAAACTATATATATCCCCTCAGGGTTTAGAGCCAAGAATCGCATGCTCATGGTTGAACCAATCTGTCCAGATGGGTGAAATACACTTAGACTACCCATGCTCTCCTCCAGAATGAGCCTCTCTTGAGGCATGTGGCTGAAGAGGGAGGAGTGGACATCCAAATAAGATCGGGATTTTATCAGGAAGGAGGAAGTTTAAATGAATCCTAGGAAGGCAGCCATGGTGTACACTATACCAACAAAACTATGAGTCAAATATGAGGGTAGAAGAAAAATATTGCAGACATACAAGGGCTTACACAGACAGCTCCACTGCTTTAGGTTAGAAAGTTCTCAAGACAGAACCACTAAAAATACAACATGTGGATTTTTTTGAATCCTAATTTTGAAAAATAAAACAAAAAGGGAAAATGCTGTAGTTCAGCATTTGTAAATATGTAGTTCACATTTACTGAGGTAAATTTGAATATGGATACCAAGATTATTGCTAATTTTGTTAGGTGCGATAAAAGCATTATGACTATGTAAGAAAATGTCCATTTTTTAAATATGTTTAGGATTAATAAGATGATATGTGGGATTTGCTTTTCAATCCTTCAACCACAACAAAAAAAGAGGAAGGGCATAGATGAAGTAAATGTGTCAAAATCCTAATATATGTTGGCCCTGTTCCAGCTAATAAGTAAAGAAGACATAATAGAAGCAGAACATAACCCCCTTTGAAACTCTAAGGAATAAACAGATCTTATCAAAGATTTTGAATCTCAGTACTATTGACAATTTAGATTAGATAATTACAGTCACACACTGCAAAATGACATTTCAGTGAATGATGGACTGCATATATGACGGTGGTCCCGTAATGTTTTAATATTGTATTTTTGCTGTACCTTTTCTATGTCTAGATACACAAATACTTACCATTGTGTTACAGTCGCATACAGTATTTAGTATAGCAGCATGCTATACAGATTCGTAGCCTAGATTTGTAGGCTATACCATATAGCCTAGGTGTATACTAGGCTATGACACCAAGGTTTGCCTAAATGCCTTCTATGGTGTTTGCCCAATGATGAAGTCTCCTAACGACACATTTCTCTGAATGTATCCCTGTTGTTAATCAACATATTATTATATTTGTTGGGGGTTAGGGGGCTGTCCTGACTGTTGTAGGATATATAGCAGCATTCCTGTCTTCTACCCACTGGATGCCAGTAGCATCCTTCCTCCCTAGTCAGGACAATCAAAAATGTCTTCAGACATTGCCAAATGTCCCTAGGTGGGGTGGGGGTCGGGGTAAAACTGCTTTTGGTTGATTCAGGTAATTATCAATGGCTGATAGCGCCACAGAAAGAGAGGAGTCAATCTGATGGCTGGAAGTACATCCATGTGAAATAATCTTGCCAAAATAAAATCAGACCTGAAATAGATGGAGGCTCTAGAACACCAAGACAGAGGAACAGGTTAAATGCATGTGGAGACACAGCCAAAAATGACCAGGTTTCTTCAACAAAAATATTGCAAGAAAAAAGGAAGGGAGAAAAACCTATAGGTTAAAAGAGGCTTAAGAGACATAACTAATCACAATCAAATCTTATTTGAATGCTGATTCGAACTAATTGTATTTTTAAAAAGCCAACACATGTATGATACCAAGTGAATATTTGATGACTTTAGAGAATAGTGCTAATTTTTTCAGGTGTGGTAATGGCATTGTGGCATTGTGGTTAGGAGTTTTCTTTATAAGTTTTATTTATTTATTTATTTTAATTTTTTGAGACAAGGTCTCGTTCTGTCACCTAGGCTAGAGTGTGATGGAGTGATCACAGCTCACTGCAACCTCAACCTCCCAGGCTCAAGCGATCCTCCCACCTAAGCCTCCTGGCTAGCTGGGACTACAGACACCCACCACCATATCTGGCTAATTTTTAAACTTTTTGTAGAGGGGGGGGTCTCGCTATGTTGCCCAGGCTGGTCTTGAATTTCTCGGCTCAAGTGATCCACCTTGGCCTCCCAAAGTACTGGGATTACAGGCATGAGCCACCATGCCCAGAGGTCTTTAAATAGAAATGCATAATAAAACATTTACAGATGAATATATGATATCTGGAATTTGCATTAAAATATCCATGGGTTAAAGGGAGTGGGAAAGAGTTTAGCTGAAACAATATTGGCCTTATGTTGATGATTGTGGAAACTTGGAAAAGGACACATGAGAGCTTCTGATGCTCTTTTCTCTACTTTGGTTTTGTTGAAAATTTATCATAATACAAAGTTTTTAAAAAGTCACCTCCCTCATACCCTTTCCTTTAAATTCCTTCATAGACTGGCTACAGGAAAGAACCCATGGAATCCTCAACACAAAAAGCAGTCAAGAAAAGCCCAGGTAATGGAAGGGACGTGGGCCCACAGAGGGCTAGCTGAGAGGGAGGAAGTCTGACAAGGTGCTCCATGGGGAAGCGTTCCCAGGAAAAGTCAGAACAGATTACTCAATATGTTTGAGTATTTAAAAAAAAATAATGTATTGCTAGGCACATGACATACTAAATGGAAAAAATGAGCATAGTATAAGCAAAAATAAGAATAAATACATAGGAAACTGTGAAAGTGAAAAATACAAGGCAATATGTAACTAGGGAAAACAAGAATTTGTCCAAGAAAAAATAAAATAATGACAATAAACCACTTGACCCTTAGATGAAAATGTTTACATTGTTATCATAAAAATGAAAACCTAACTAGCCACCAGCACCAATGTGTGCCACCCAGGGCCCGAGGGCCAGCCTGCCATCACTACTGCCATTGCCAGTGCCACAAGCACTGCCCAGGGACCTGAGGGCCAGCTTGCCATGAGCACTGCCACCACCAGTGCTGCAAGCACTGCCTAGGGGCCCAATAACTAGTATACCCAGGCCCCCTCCTACTACCACTGATGGCTGCTTATGTTACCCAGGGGACCAAGGACCAACCTACTTGATGTTCTTGTCCCCAGAAAAGCCTTGCCACAGCCTCCACTAATAACCACAGCCTAAGCCACTGAAGAACACACAGACCCCACTGACATTGATTAAAGCTGAATAAATCATACAGAGACTACATTACTGTGCCCATCCAGAATCAAAGCCAAAGCACCCTACCCAACCAACACTACAGATACATTTACAGGGAAAATTATTTCCTATGAAAGCCATTCCATAAAATTTGAAGAAGCAAGTATTATACCAGGTGCACACATATTAACATAAGGACAAAGGAAACAGAAAAAAAGCAAGGAAACATGACACTGACAAAAGAACAAAATAATTCTCCAGTAACAGATTCCAAAGAAAAGGAAATATATGAAATGCCTGAAAAGGAACTTAAAATAGTGGCCAGTTGTTACAAGAGAACACGGATAGATAATACAAGAAAATCAGAAAAATAATTCATAATCTGAATGAGCAATTGAACAGATAGATATAAAAAACAACCAAACAGAAATCCTGGATCTGAAGTGCTTCAAAAATAAATTGAGCAGAAGAAAGAATTTTTGAACTTGAAGATAGGTCTTTTGAAATAATTCAGTCAAACAAAAGAAAGAAAAAAGAAAAAAGGAAAAAAAAAAGAATGAAGAAAGCCTATGTGACATTTGGGATACTGTAAACCAAACACATTTTCATAAAATTTGTTCTACAGGAAAAGGGAATGGAAACAGCATAGAAAACCTATTTAAGGAAATAATCACTAAAAACTTCACAAGTCTTGGAAGAGATGAAAATATCCAGACAGGCAACTCAAAGAGTCCCAGATAGATTTAATCCAAAAAGGTTTATTGGAGGCACATTATAGTCAAACTGTCAAAAGTAAAAGACAAAGAGAACAGCAAGAGAAAAAAGTCAAGATATATTTAAGGCAATCCCCATCAGACTAGCAGCACATTTCTTAGCAGAAACCTTACAGGCTACCAGAAACCTTATAGGAAAGAATGGGATGATATATTCAAGGTGCTAAAAGGAGGGAAAAAAAGGAAAAAAGGATAAACTTCTCCACACCCACTAAATCTATCCATTAGATATGAAGGAGAAATAGTCTTTCTTAGACAAACAAAAACAGGAAATTCATCACCACTAGACCAGCCCTATAAAAAATGCTTAAAGAAGAACATCTAGAAGAGAAAGGACAATATCTACCATAATGAAAATACACAAAAGTATAAAACTCACTGGTGGGGATACGCAAATAAGAAATATACAAAAATCAACTCAAAATGGATTAAAGATTTAAACATAAACCTAAAACTATAAAACTACTTGACGAAAGCAGGGGAAATGCTTCAGGGCATTAGTCTAGGCAAAGATTTTATGGCTGAGACTTTAAAAGCACAAGTAACAAAAATAAAAATAGACAAATGAGACTATGTTAAACTAAAAGGCTTCTATACAGCAAAGGAACAATCAACAGGGTGAAGAGACTACCTACAGAATGACAGAAAATATTTGCTAACTGTTCATCCAACAAGTAATTAATATCTAGAATATACAAGGAACTCAACAGCAAAGCAAACAAAAAAACCACAAATAATCCAATGAAAAATGGGCAAGTGAGCTGAACAGACATTTCTCAACGACATACAAATGGCCAACAGGTGTATGAAAAAATACTCAACATCACTAATCATCAGGGAATTGCAAACTAATACCACAATGAGATATCATCTTACCCCAGTTAGAATGGCTATATCAGCTGGGCATGATGGCTCACGCCTGTAATCCCAGCACTTTGAGAGGCCGAGATGGGTGGATCACCTGAGGTCAGGAGTTCGAGACCAGCCTGGCCAACATGGTGAAATCCTGTCTCTACTAAAAATGCAAAAATTAGCTGGGTGTGGTGGCACACACGTGTAATCCCAGCTACTTGGAAGGCTGAGGCAGGAGAATCGCTGGAACCTGGGAGATAGAGGTTGCAGTGAGCCAAGATCGCGCCACTGCACTCCAGCCTGGGTGACAGAGTGAGACTTGGTCTTGAGAAAAACAAACAAACAAACAAAAAACAAAACAAAACAAAAAAACAAATGGCTACATCGAAAAGACAAAAAATAACAAATGCTGGCAAGGATGTGGAGAAAAGAGAACTCTTACCAGACTATTAGTAGGAAGATAAATTATTACGGACATTATAGAAAACAGTGTGGAATTTTTCAGAAAACCAAAAACAGAGCTACCATATGATCCAGCAAACCCACTACTGAGTATTTATCCAAAAGAAAGAAAATTGGCGTATTAAAGGAATACCTGCATTCCCACATTTACTGCAGCACTATTCACAATACTAAGATACGGAATCAACATAAATGTCCATTAACAGATGAATGAGTTAAGAAAGATTACATATCTAAGATAGATAAATATGTGTGTGTGTGTGTGTGTGTGTGTGTGTGTGTGAGAGTGTGTGTATAACGGGATACTATTCAACCATAAAAAGAATGAAATCTTGTCATTCACAGAAACATGGATGAGCCTGGAAGACATTAAATTAGAGCACAATAAGAAGACATTATATTCAAGCAAAATTCTTGTACACAAGAATACCACATGTCCTCACTCATATGTGGGAGCTCATAAAAGTAGAAGGTAGAATTGTGGGCACTATAGAGGCTAGGAAAGGTAGGGGGTGAGGAGGATAGGGAGAGGTTGGTTAATGAACACAAAATTTCAGCTAGATGGGAGGAATGAGTTCTGGTGTTCTGCAGCAGCATAGGGTAAATATAGATAACCAATTTGTTGAGTATTTTTTAAAAGCTTGAAGAGAGTATTTTGAATGTTCACAACACAAATGACAAATGTTTGAGGTAACAGATATGTTAATTACCCTGTTTTGATCACTCCACACATATACATATATCAAAATATCACTCTCTATCCCATACATATGCACAATTATATTGTGTCAACTAAAAATAAAAGGGAAAAATGAAGAAAAATGAACCTAATTAAAAATCAGGTCCACGTATATTGAGAAGATGGTGGCTGGGTGGGACAGTGGTGTAGAGAGCAAAATGCTCATCCAAACTGGAAGTAGATAATGTTGAACATTCATTGTCAAAAACAGAAAAAGGCCTTGGAAGAAAAACCAGTGCCAGGCTTGAGTGAGAAAGTTGCACAACCTTCTTCACCCCCAACGGCCTTCAGCTAGGATGTCCTTGGGAGAAGACTATTCTATGTCATCTCAGTGTGGGAAAAGATAACACTGTTCTGAAGTCACTTCTCTATTTTCCTTCCTGGTAGCTCATCTAAGATTAAAAAAGAAATTCCTCAGTTCCTCCTAGGAATTAATAATTCTAACAATACCATATGATGTCCATGAGCTCTACTTTGCCATTGCTGGTTTTGCGAGAGCTGACATTTTTGAACATTACTATATTCCAGGCACTGAGCTACGTGTTACATACGTTGTCTCATTTAATCTTCTTGACACTTGTGAGCCAATATTGTTGTTCTACCATGACATGAAGGAGTGAGGCTTAGAAAGGTTTAGTAAAGTTGCAGAGCATAGATGTGACGGAGCCATGCCAGGACCCAAGGAGTCTAACCCCCAAGCCATTGCTTACAACCATAATGCCAAGGACAGTCCTTGAGAGGTAGCACTGTAAACTATTTTTCATGCTGCCTTTGACACCACTCCCCACTTTCTTTCACTTGTGTCTCCTTTTTAAATCTTGCACTGTTCATCAGAGGGAAACCATTTTTTTCCCCTTAGGAATAGGAACTATTGCTGGAGCACGAGAGTGCATATTAATAGTTATGGAAAGACTATAGGAATATCCTACAGAGATGTCCTTATTGTGCACTTGTTAAGAACTCATTCTGGGATGGAGTGGGAAATAGATGAGATGCCCCAAAAGTCCTTTAAGAACGTCATCCTCTGAGGTGGGAGGATCACTTGAGCCTGGGAGGTCGAGGCTACATAAGCCATGATGCCACTACACTTCAGCTTGGGTGACAGAGGAAGACTCCATCTAAAAAAAAAAAAAAAAAAAAAAAAAAAAAGGCCTCCTATCAGAAGCTTCAAAAAGAATTATTGTAGCTTGACTTGAACATGGAAATTTTCACTTTTTTTCTTTCTGTTTGGTGTTCTTAACATGGAGTATGTATACATCCATGCGTAAAATGTAAAGCACTGATAAACATTTTCTTTGCAAAATGTATAAAAAACAAAATCATGTATTTTTCTAGGGTATTTTGGCAAACAGCTATTACACAATCTCTCCAGCCCACCATCTATCATTCCTCAATTTATTACTGAGTAGCAGATTTTGAATGTTGCCAATTCTTTTTGGAATGAGTGCTTGATTTTTTTTTTAAATCACAAAGAAAACATTCTGCCACAGTCCCAAGGCACTACTGATGGACTTCACTATTTTAAGCCAGCTGAGTCCAAGGCACTTTCCAGGACTATTTATAGATTTTGCTCATTCTTCCATTTTCTTACTGAGATAATCTCCTGGTCCATCCTGATTGTCACATAATAAATCCTTCTTCAATTTAATTCTACTATGCTGGGTACAGTGGCTCATGCCTGTAATCCCAGAACTTTGGGAGGCCAAGGCAGGTGGATCACCTGAGATCAGGAGTTCAAGACCAGCCTGGCCAATATAGTGAAACCCTGTCTCTACTGAAATCACAAAAATAAAAATAAAAAAATTAGCTGGGTGGTGCGCACCTGTAATCCCAGCTACTCGGGAGGCTGAGGCACGAGAATCACCTGACCCCAGGAGGCGGAGGTTGCAGTGAGCTGAGATTATGCTACTGTACTCCATCCTGGGCAACACAGTGAGACTCCATCTCAAAAAAAAAAAATTTAATTCTACTCAACCAGAAATTTTACTGAATGTTCTATGATTTGGTGGTGTTTGGACAGTTCTAACACAAGGTGAGAATGTGCATTGTAAGACGTAAATTAGAAAATATGACAATGGGTGAATATCCCTTAAAATATAGAATGCCCAATTAAATTAAGAAGAAAAACATTAGGACACCAACAGATTAAATAGGTAAAGGACATGGTAGGTAATTTATAACCCAAACGTACCACACAAACACACAAGCAAAACAAATGGCCTGCAAACATAAAAATAGTTGTAACTCACTAGTAATCAAAAATCTAAAATTAGAGTAACAGAACACAATTTTAACCTATACAAACAGCAAAGCCTAAAATAAACAAAATTGTGATTTTATAGCCAGCCAGAGGGTGGCGAGAAGGGCATTGACAAAAACTGCTGATAGGAGAATAAACAGCTACTTGGGCTGGTTCTTCTGTGTTGAGAAGAGAACTTTAACCTGCCTTTTGCCCGGCTGACAGAGTGAAGAGGATGTCTTCACAGCTACAGAGTATGTCCCCTCCAAACTCCCAACTGTGAATACTACCTTGCACTCTCTGGAATCCCATCCTCGTCAATAACGCAACGGGAGAAAGCATAATCATAAATCCCCGCCAGAAGAACAAAGGCTCCATCTCTCTGTGCCTCCAGACACTGGAGATTTTACTCTGAAGGGAAATCAGGCCACTTTGGAGCTGAGTAGTCAGAAAGCACTGTGTCATTCTCTTGAAGGTTGCCTTTACAAAATTGCCCTTTGATGGGATGTATTTGGCTTGCCCTGAGAAACATGGTAAGAAATTGCCCTCGTAACTTTCCTGCTCTATTTGTCAATGACATGGAGTTGAGAATGTCACCCATCACATCATGCGGTGTGTCCTCTTTAAGAGATCTCAGGATCAGCCAGGAGCAGTGGTTCACACCTGTAATCCCAGCACTTTGGGAGGCCAAGGCAGGCGGATCACAAGGTCAAGAGATCGAGACCATCCTGGCCAACATGGTGAAACCCCATCTCTATTAAAAAATATAAAAATTAGCTGGGGCGCAGTGGCGGGTGCCTTTAGTCTCAGCTACTCGGGAGGCTGAGGCAGGATAATCGCTTGAACCTGGGAGGTGGAGGTTGCAGTGAGCCGAGATCACACCATTGCACTCCAGCCTGAGTGACAGAGCGAGACACTGTCTCAAAAAAAAAAAAAAAATCTCAGGATCAGGAAAATTATGCTTCTTCTGAATACCTATGAACCTATAAGTATAACCCTTAAAGCTAAGCATTTTTCTCTTTTTGCTTTGACTGCCAGGAAGCTCAGAAAGAAATTTATGAATTACCTCAAGTGACTTTACGTGACCATATAGTAATTGTGTTGTTTGCTAATATGGGTTTTAATTCATTGCTATAGTTACGCTTCCCCTGCAGTCTGCAGTTATTTATTTCAGCCTTCAGTATTCATCCTGTTTTGGTGAACCACGGCAATGATGGAAGTGGGTATAAATAAATGTAAGTTCACTAAAACGATTAAAAGAAACTCATAAGCTCCAACTGGATGTCAAAGGAGGCTTTTTGAAAGTTTGGAAATGAATTTTTGAAAAAGTTTGGAAATCCCAGATCAGATCTGGAAGCTCTTAACTGAGACTCTGTTCTTTTTCTAACATTCTGTGTCATTTTTAGGTCAAATAGCTTTTGGGGGATATAAAAAACTTAGGGCATCTGGCTGGGCACAGTGGCTCACGCCTGTAATCCCAGCACTTTGGGAGGCCAAGGGGGAGGATCACTTGAGGTCAGGAGTTTGAGACCAGCCTGGTCAACATGGCGAAACTCTGTCTCTATTAAAAATACAAAAATATTAGCTGGGCATGGTGGCACAGCCTGTGGTCCCAGCTACTCAGGAGGCTGAGGCAGGAGAATCACTTGAACCTGGGAGGCTGGGTTGCAGTGAGTCAAGATCGCACCACCGCACTCCAGCTTGGGCGACAGAGTGAGACTCTATCTTAAAAAAAATAAAAAAAAATAAAAAAAACCTAAGGCATCTCTAAATGTATATTTTAATTTCTGTATAAGTAATTGCTTATTTAAGTAGCAGCTTCCATCCATAAAATATCTCTATTCCTTCTAGAAAATAATGATGGCAAACACTATTATTATATTATCGTTACATTTATATTTTTACTTATTCCACAAACTTATCTCAAGCACCTACTGTGAAAGGCATGGCTCAAGACTCCGGGAAGTGTGAAAGGCATGGCTCAAGACTCCGGGAAGATGTCTAATAGCTTTGCAGGAGTCTGGGTCCCCTTGGCCCTGCAGGCTAGTGACCCTTGAGGCTAAGGCTATGTCTTACTCACCTCTGTATTTCCAGCACCAAGCAGTTTTGGGCACCTCAGAGGCATTCAGCAAATGTTATCTTATAACTCTTGCCTTCTTTTCCAAAATTTTTATTTTTAATTGACAAATAATAATTGTAGGCTAGGTATGGTGGCCATGCCTGTAATCCCAGTGCTTTGAGAGGCTGAGGCAGGTGGATCACTTGAGCCCAGGAGTTTGTGACCAGCCTGGACTACATGGTAAAACCCTGTAATTTAGTAGAGACTAAAAATACAAAAATTATCTGGGTGTGGTAGCACTTGCATGTAGTCCCAGCTAATTGGGAGGCTGAGGTGGGAGGATTGAGTGAGTCCAGGAGGTTGAGGCTGCAGTGAGCCATGATGGTGCCACTGAACTCCAGCCTGGATGACAGAGTGAGACCCTGTCTCAAAAATAAATAAACAAATGAATAATCATATACATTTGTGGGGTATGATGTGATGTTTTGATACATGTATACACTGTGAAATGATTATATCAAGCTAATTAACATATCCATCACTTTACCTACCTATAATTTTTTATAGTGAGAATGTTTAAAATCTACTCTATTAGCAATTTTGACATACATAATACATTGTTATTAACTGGTCACCATGCTGTGCAATAGACTTTGAAAACTTATTCCTCCTGTCTAACTGAAACTTTGTACTGTTTGGCCAACATCTCCCCAATCCCTCCAGCCCCTGCCCAGACCCTGGTAATTACCATTCTACTCTCAGCTTCTGTAAGTTTGGCATTATTAGATTCCACATATAAGAATTTTGTAATTCCTGCCTTGCATTAGTCCGTTTTCATGCTGCTGATAAAGACATACCCAAGACTAGGCAATTTACAAAAGAAAGAGGTTTAATTGGACTTACAGTTCCACATGACTGGGGAAGCCTCACAATCATGGCAGAAGGCAAGGAGGAGCAAGTTCTGTCTTACATGGATGGCAGCAGACAAAGAGAGAATGAGGAAGATGCAAAAGCGGAAACCCCTGATAAAACCATCAGATCTTGTGAGACTTATTCACTACCATGAGAACAGTATGGGGGAAATGCCCCTGTGATTCAATTGATCTCCCACAGGTCCCTCCCACAACATGTGGGGATTATGAGAGTACAATTCAAGATGACATTTGGGTGGGGACACAGAGCCAAACCATATCATTTCACCCCTGGCCTCTGCCAAATCTCATTTCCTCACATTTCAAAACCAATCATGCCTTCCCAACAGTCCCCCAAAGTCTTAACTCACTTCAGCATTAACCAAAAAGTCCACAGTACAAAGTCTCATCTGAGACAAGTCAGGTCCCTTCTGCCTATGAGCCTGTAAAATCAAAAGCAAGCTAGTTATTTCCTAGATACAATGGGGGTACAGACATTGGGTAAATACAACTGTTCCAAATGGGAGAAATTGGCCAAAACGAAGGGACTACAGGCCTCATGCAAGTCAGAAATCCAGCAGGGCCGTCAAATCTTAAAGCTCCAAAATGACCTCCTTTGACTCCATGTCTCACATCTAGGTCACGCTGATGCAAAAGGTAGGTTACTGTGGTCTTGGGCAGCTCTGTCCCTGTGGCTTTACAGGGTACAGCCTCCCTCCCAGCCGCTTTCACAGGCTGGTGTTGAGTGTCTGTGGCTTTTCCAGGCACACAGTGTAATCTGTCAGTGGATCTACCATTCTGGGGTTTAGAGTACGGTAGCCCTCTTCTCACAGCTTCACTAGGCAGTGCCCCAGTAGGGCCTCTGTGTGGGGGCTCTGACCCCACATTTCCCTTCCATACTGCCCTAGCAGAGGTTTTCCATGAGAGCCCCGCCCCTGCAGCAAACTTCTGCCTGGGCATCCAGATGTTTCCATACATCTTCTGAAATCTAGGTGGAGGTTCCCAAATCCCCAATTCTTGACTTCTGTGCACCCGCAGGCTCAACACCACATGGAAGTTGCCAAGGCTTGGGGCTTGCACCCTCTGAAGCCATGGCCCAAGCTCTACACTGACTTTTTTTTTTTTCTGAGACAGAGTCTCGCTTTGTTGCCCAGGCTGGAGTGCAATGGCATGATCTCAACTCATTGCAACCTCTGCCTCCTGGGTTCAGGTGATTCTCCTGCCTCAGCCTCTTGAGTAGCTGGGATTACAGGTGCACACCACCGCACCCGGCTAATTTTTGCATTTTTAGTAGAGACAAGATTTCACCACGTTGGTCAGGCTGGTCTCGAACTCCTGACCTCGTGATCCGCCCACCTCAGCCTCCCAAAGTGCTGGGATTACAGGCATAAGCCACTGCACCTGAACTACATTGGCTTTTTAAAGCCACAGCTGGAGTGGCTGTGATGCGGGACACAAAGTCCCTAGGCTGCACACAGCTTGGGGATCCTGGGCCTGGCCCACAAAACCATTTTTTCCTCCTAGGCCTCTGGGCCTGTGATGGGAGGGGCTGCTGTGAAGACCTCTGACATGCCCTGGAGACATTTACCCCATTGTCTTGGGGATTAATGTTAGGCTCCTTGTTACTTATGCAAATTTCTGCAGCTGGCTTGAATTTCACCTCAGAAAATAGGATTTGCTTTTCTATCACATAGTCAGGCTGCAAATTTTCCAAACTTTTATACTGTTTCCCTTTTAAAACTGAATGCCTTTAACAGCACCCAAGTCACCTCTTGAATGCTTTGCTGCTTAGAAGTTTTTTCTGCCAGATACCCTAAAGCATCTCTCTCAAGTTCAAAGTTCCACAAATCTCTAGGGCAGGGGCAAAATGCTGCAAGTCTCTTTGCTAAAACATAACAAGAGTCACCTTTGCTTCAGTTCCCAACAAGTTCCTCATCTCCATCTGAGACCACCTTAGCCTGGACCTTATTGTTCATATAACCATCAGCATTTTTGTTAAAGCCATTTAACAATTCTCTAGGAAGTTCCAAACTTTCCCACATCTTCCTGTCTTCTTCTGAGCCCTCCAAACTGTTCCAAACTCTGCCTGTTACCCAGTTCCAAAGTCTTTTCCACATTTTCAGGTATCTTTTCAGCAACTCTACTGGTACCAATTAACTGTATTAGTCCACTTTCATGCTGCTGATAAAGTCATACCCGAGACTGAGCAATTTAAAAAAGAAGAGATTTAATTGGACTTACAGTTCCACGTGGCTGGGGAAGCCTCACAATCATGGTGGAAAGCAAGGAGGAGCAAGTCCCATCTTACACGGATGGCAGCAGGCAAAGAGAGAATGAGGAAGATACAAAAGCAGAAACCCCTGTTAAAACCATCAGATCTGGTGAGACTTACTCACTTCCATGAGAACAGTATGGGGGAACCACCCCCATGATTCAATTATCTCCAATGGGGTCTCTCCCACAACACATGGGAATTATGGGAGTACAATTCAAGATGAGATTTGGGTGGGGACACAGAGCCAAACCATATCATGCCTTCTGGTATCTCCCATTACATTGCTGATTGATTTAGTTAGTGCCATATATTCATTTATTGTTTGCTTGTTGTTTTATGTGTGTTAGCACAGCCTCCTGGGTAGACAATAAGCTATTTGAGGACAGGAATCATACTACATCTACCTAGATGTCTATGTTTCTATCCAGCTGTCAAGTGCTAGTATCTGTCTACCTACCTGCCTACCTATATATCTATCACTGTGCTAGCAGGGGCACCACAAAATGTTACTGAGTGCTTTGTAAACATCTAACTCAGAATTATTAATAAACTTATTAGATTCCATGAATAAATTAATTTCTACATCCAGTTTGTCACTACTAATGGTCATTAGCTTGTAACACTTCTGTGTTCACATATAATGAAGCAATAGTAATGTTTTGCATTGTATTCCCTGGAAGTCTCTGTCATTATTGCTTGTCTTATGTAATACCTGCAGAGGGCCAGGACCATTTAACTTTCCTTTCCCCTCCCAGTGTGCACTTAACAAATGATTTTGGTGGCAGGTTACAAAGGTAAAGATGTTTCTAATTAGCCTTGCTTCTGGAGTCTGAAAAATACCCAGCTATAGCACCCAAAATCACACACCAACTGCAGAGCTCAGTAGAGGCCAATGTTCATACACTGCAGTTAGGAGCTACACTCAGAATCGATAGCCAACAATTGGATACACGTTCTCAATTCCAAAATTTCTGGAAACTATAGCCATGTAAGAGCTCCCATACAGAGAAGTATTAAAATCATTGCATAGCTGTGTGCGGTGGTATGCGCCTGTAGTCCCAGCTACTCAGGAAGCTAAGGCAAGAGGATCCTTCGAGCCCAGGAGTTCAAGGCCAGCCTGGGCAACATAGAAGACCCTGTCTCTAAAAATGAATAAATACATACATAAGTTTAAAAAATACCATAGGAGATAAAAATACTGTCAAGTTACCACAGTGCAAACAAGGCACAGCACGTTAAGTCAGCATTGTGATTTTGTACCAGCCTGAATCACTGTCTTTCTGGATAAACTCAGTTATTCCAACTGCCTAACCAGTCCTTGCCCCTCCTCCCATCTTTTTCCTCACTTCCACAATCCTATGCCCCAGTGGATACATGGTAGATTAGACAGAAAACATGACACCAACCCCACCGCCCTTGCTTTTCCCTTTATGAGAATATGCAGGCGGAGAGGTTGAACTACTGACCAACTGTTTAGAGAGTGTTCAGCACTTTTCAGATGTGCCCTCCTGCCCCCAGCCGGCATGGGAAAGGAAAGAGCTGGCCTGGGCCTGTGTGGGTACTCCTCAGGTCCCTGTCCCTGAGTCAGGAGACACTGGCTGTTCTCGGAGAGGGCTGCTCCTCCGAGCGGAGACCCTGAGATCATGGAGTCCTGAGATCGAGAAGGTTCGGGACTGAGCTGCAGGGTGGGCTCTCGAGTGCCCAGTGGAAGCGGGAAGCCCCCATAAGCGCCTCTCCCACAGCCATTCATCCATGACTCAGCCACAGATACGCATTGAGAGCCGAATGATGACACATGCCACCCTAAGCCCTTGGGACACAACAATAGACACAGCAGAAATCCCTGCTTGCAGAATGATTCAACTCTAGTGGAAAGACAATTAAATAAACAAAAAAAGCGATGTTTCAGGGGACACCTGGGGAATCGTGACCGATTCATTGCAGTGCCCCAGCTGAAAGCCTAGGGAGTTCCTGTGGACACAGTCGGTGCTCAATAAATTTTTGTTGAATTGGGGAAAAAAATCTATGGAGGAAGATATACCAAAAAAAAAAAGAAAGGATTAGATAATATAGGCAGCGTTGGGCTATGGGAAAAGCTAAAGAGAAAAAGCAAGGATGGGCGTTAGGGGTGTGCGGGTGCAGAGACGGAGGTGCAGTCTCCAGGGAGCCAGGGCGCTCCTGAGCTTCCAGGCGAGAAGGAGGTGGCGTGAGCTGGGAACACCAGGACACTTAACACTTCACCTGCAAACTCACTGCCCAGGCCAAGGGACCGCCCTAGTGACCTCATCTTAACCAATTACATCTGCAAAGACCCTATTTCCAAGTAAGGTCACATTCACAGCGGGGTGGGATCAGGACTTGAACATATCTTTTGGGGGACACAGTTCAACTCCTAAGAGGGGGCATCTGCCAGGAATGCAGGCGGCGATTTCCTTTCCAGAGCAGCCCAGGCAGGGGCACCCAGCGGGGAAGGGGAAGAGGACTGAGCCAAGCTGGGCACAGCACCCCCAACTTGCTGTAAAGGATGCCTCCCTTCCTCTCAACCTGGCATGGAAAGGCGCCTCCAAGGGCAGCTGGGCTGGAGCCAGGAGGCTGCAGGCAGGGCCAGGCCATAAGCCCAGGGCTGAGAGTGGCGCCACTGCAGGCCTCGTGCCTCCCAGGAGAGCCGGCACTGGGCCTCTGCCCCTTGGATGGCACCAGAAGAGCCTAGGGGACAGGATGGAGGGCTCAAGGGGAAGGCGGGGTAGGGAAAGGGTGAAGCAAACTCCTAAGGATCCCACAGCCTCATAGGAGGGAGAAGCCAAGAGCCCAACCATCCCCCTCCCTTAATCAGAGTGACACAGAGGACCAGCATGCCCCCATCCAAGGCCCTGGAGAGACAAAGCTACCACAGTCAGTGACTGCCTGACAGAGAACAACTTTTGATGGCCAGCCCTGGGTAGCGCTGAGTGGGTGAGGGCAGGTAGACAGTGGTTCTGAACTCAAGAGGTGGCAGGTGTTGGAAATGGCTGTGCCACCCTTTCCAGATTGACTGCGGGCTGAACTGGGAACACTGTGACACTTCAAATGTAACCTGAAGCCTGCTGTCCCTGTGACCTAGTCACATACAGCTGCACTTAAAATCTAGCCTGGTAGCTTGCTGTCCACATGATCCAGTCAATACAGCTGTGGGACTGAGACACCATGGACTGCCCGCTGGCGAGCCCAGTCTCAAAACCTGTCCCACAGCCCCACCCCACCTCTCAGCCTGGGGATGGAAGGCAGAGGAAGCAAAGAGCCCCTCATGCCCTCAGTCTGCCCAAGACCCCTCAGGATCATCACCCAGAGAGGGAAATGCCACCACGCCCTGTCCCCACGCACCAGGGCAGCAGGTCCTGGGTTCAGATCCTGCCCGGCTCCAGACTCACTGGCTCTGTGGCCCTGAGGAACTCACCCAAGTGTGCAACATTTCAGTCCCTCCTCAGTAGGAGGGGACAACGACAGCATCTGCCTCCCCCCACCCCCCAAACCCCAGCACAGGGATCACATGTCAGTCCCAGGAAGGACTTACCACAGCCACTGTCAGTGAAGAGAGCTACTATTGTCAACAATTTGAAAAGTTTTAATCTAAGAGCCTTATAAGAATCACAAGTGGTGGTTGTTTTTTGTTTTTTGAGATGGAGTCTCACTCTGTCACCCAGGCTGGAGTGTAGTGGCGAGAGCTGTGTGCCACAGCATCTGCTCACTGTCCACCCAGGGCCCTTCTAGCACCACTCCAGGCCTTGGCTTTGTACTCAACAGAAAGCAAAACCATTTCAGTAGTAGCAGAAGCATTCTGCATGGGTGGTAATGAAGGAAGGGACAGTGTTAATGGAAATCAAATGTGCCAAGTGCAGTAGCTCACACCTGTAATCCCGCACTTTGGGAGGCCAACGTGGGAGGACTGCTTGATCTCAGGAGGCCGAGATCAGCCTTGGCAACATAGAAAGACTGTGTATAAAAAAATTTAACATTAGCCAGGCATGGTGGTACACACCTGTAGCCTCAGCTATGCCGGGGGGCCTAGGCAGGAGGATCACTTGAGCCTGGGAAGGTTGAGGCTACAGTGAGCTATGGTTGCACCACTGCACTCTAGCCTGGGCAACAGAGTGAGATCCCATCTCAAAAAAATAAAAATAAGAAAATCAAATGCAAAGAAAAGTCAAATGGAAATGATTGAGGAGAAAGAAAGAAAATAATTCTGTTCTGTTATCTTTCTTGAAGATAATCTAGAAAGAAACCAGGCAGGAAAAATGAAACTTTGTGACATTAATATACCCACTGAATGTTTTTAAGAGGATATTGCTACAGAAAAGGTCTATAGAGGCCAGGAGGGGTGGCTCACTCCCGTAATCCCAGAACTTTTGGAGGCCGAGATGGGTGGATCACTTGAGGTCAGGAGTTCGAGACCAGCCTGGCCAACATGGCGAAACCCCATCTCTACTAAAAACACAAAAATTAGCCAGGCGTGGTGGCGCACATCTGTAATCCCAGCTACTCGGGAGGCTGAGGCACAAGAATTGCTTAAATCTGGGAGGTAGAGGCTGCAGTGAGCCAAGGTCACACAATTGCACTCCAGCCTGGGCGACAGAGCAAGACCCTATCTCAAAAAAAAAAAAAGGCTGGGCGCGGTGGTTCACAGCCTGTAATCCCAGCACTTTGGGAGGCTGAGGTGGGCGGATCATGAGGTCAGGAAATTGAGACCAGCCTGGCCAACATGGTGAAACCCCGTCTCTACTAAAAATGCAAAAATTAGCTGGGTGTGGTGGCATGTGCCTATAATTCCAGCTACTCAGGAGGCTGAGGCAGGAGAATCGCTTGAACCAGGGAGTCACACGTTGCAGTGAGCCGAGATCGCACCACTGCACTCCAGCCTGGTGACAGAGTGAGGCTCCGTCTCAAAAAAAAAAAAAAAGGTCAGGAGTGGTGGTGGCTCACGCTTGTAATCCCAGCACTTTGGGAGGCCGAGATGGGCAGATCACAAAGTCAGGAGATCAAGACCAATCTGGCCAACACAGTGAAACCCTGTCTCTATTAAAAATACAAAAAATTAGCCTGGCGTGGTGGCACATGCCTGTAATCCCAGCTACTCAGGAGGCTGAGGCAGGAGAATGGCGTGAACCCGGGAGGCGGAGCTTGCAGAGAGCCGAGATTGCGCCACTGCACTCCAGCCTGGGCGACAAAGTGAGACTCCGTCTCAAAAAAAAAAAAAAAAAAAAGAGGAACAAAGGAAAAAAAAGTCCTATAGATAACCCAAAAGAGAAAATAATTGTGTTTACAGCGACCACAACATTGATCGGTGGAAACTTGCTTTTAGTTCTTTATTTTGGGTGCTATTATGTGTCTTTTTTGTTTCTAATAAGTGGTTCTAATGATTATATTCATTACTGTATTTATTGTTACCTTTCTACTCCTTCTGGAAGTAAATGAAATTACCTTTTCCTAAACTTTGATCTTCTTAAAAGCACAGAATTTTTCTAGGAGTTAGTTGTTTATTTTAGGGGTAGAGTTGTCATATGTTTAACAAAAATATTTGGTATACATTATACAAAGTCGTCAACCTACTAGATTTTTTAAATGGCATTTCATTATTTGTTTCTTAGTCAAAAGTGCAAACACCAGAGTGCCTGATTCTAAGTCAGACCTACCTGACCATTCAATGTGGAGAGTCGTCAAAGTCTCCCTTTCTTTGTGTCCAGAGGGTTCTGGAACCTTCATGCAAATAGGCCGCCTAGTGGCTAGTTAAAATAGGTCATCTAGTGGTCACTCCAAAACCAAATGGTGAGAGTGGTTCTTTTCTGTCTGACTGTTGAAGAGGAGTAAGTGTTTCACCTGCCAGGCACATCGTAAGATAATGGGGAAGATTGAAGGAGGACATTGTCTGTAGGCATCTGTAAGGAATGTCCATAGGTGTGTGTTTGTTTCTTTTACTTGCCTTTATTTCACAAAGGATGCAAAGTGGCTAATACAAATAAATTAAATGAAAATGTGGATAGAGATAAAAGTGAAAAGCAGAAAAGCATAGGTAGAACGGGAGACGAAGGCTGTGGGGAAAATATAGGAGTAAATACGCAGACCATTGCACCAGCCTCTGGGCTCTAAGCTTCCTAGAGTCAAAGCAGAGGGAAAAACACAGCAGTGCTGGTGACTTGCATCACTATGGGCCCAGTCATTCCTGACCAGGAGACATAGTAGGAACAGGGAGGAGACACACACAACTTCAGTCGGAATAGAATTTCTATGATGGATCTTCCTAGAGATGTAGTGAACAAAGGCTTCAAAATCAACTTTACAATAAGTGCAACTCTGGAGTCATCAGATGGTGTTTCTTTTTCTTTTTTCTTTTTTTTTTTTTTGAGCAGCAGCCAGATTTATTATGAAGAGCGAAAGAACAAAGCTTTCACAGCGTGGAAGGGGACCCGAGCGGGTTGCCTGAGATGGTGTTTCTTATGACTCTTTTTTTATTTTTGAAGACGAAATCTCACTCAGTTGCTGAGGCTGGAGTGCAGTAGCGCAATCCCAGCTCACTGCAACTTCCACCTCCTGGGTTCAAGCGATTCTACTGCCTCAGCCTCCCAAGTAGGTGGGATTACAGGTGCCCACGACCATGACCAGCTAATTTTGTATTTTTAGTAGAGACAGGGTTTCACAATGTTACCCAACCTCAGATGATCCACCAGCCTCGGCCTCCCAAAGTGCTAGGCTTTGGGATTACAGGCGTGAGCCACTGTGCCCAGACCTTTTTTTTTTTTTTTTTTGAGACGGAGTCTCGCTCTGTCACCCAGGCTGGAGTGCATTGGCATGATCTCGGCTCACTGCAACCTCTGTGATTTTCCTGCCTCAACTTCCCAGGTAGCTGGGATTACAAGAGTGTGCCACCATGTCTGGCTAATTTTTGTATTTTCAGTAGAGACGGGGTTTCACTATGTTGGCCAGGCTGGTCTCAAACTCCTGACCTCAGGTGATCCACCTGCCTCCACCTCCCAAAGTGCTGGGATTACAGGGGTGAGCCAGCACGCCCAGCCTCTTATGACCCTTTTAAACATTTTTACTGGAATATAATTCACATATCATGAAATTCACCCATTTAAAATGTATAATTCAGTGGCTTTTGGCATATTCACAGAACTGTGCAACCATTACCACAACCTAACTTTAGAACATTTTATCATCCCTAGGAAAAAGCATGTACCCATTAGCAGTCATTCCCTACTCCCTGACCACCACACATTTCTGTCTCTATAGATTTGCTCATTCTGGAAATTTCATATAAATGGAATCATACCATATGTGGTCTTTTGTCACTGGCTTTCACTTAGCACAGTGTTTTCAATCCATGTTTTAGCATGTGTATACTTCATTTCTTTTGATTGCCAAATAATATTCTACCATATGGATTTATCTTATGTCTCTTTTAAAGTTACACAGAGAATACACTTCTAGGGGGGTCGGGGTGGGTAGACTTTCTGGTAATCCAGCTGGGTCCCATGGAGTTAACAGAATATCTAAGAGATGAGATGTACAACAAATTCTTCAATTATGTTCCTAAACTTTTCCAGGGGAATATTTAATCAAAATTGAGTAGAGAGCAGCCCAGGTGTATACTGACTAAAGGCTTGGACGAGCAAGACACATGCTTAGCCAGACTGAAGGTTGACTCACAAACATCAAAAATTAACTGATCAGATGAGATGAAGAAAGAACCTTTGGTGAAAATTAAGAAACCTAATGAAGATTTATACTTAGAAAGACAACCATTCCATCTGTGCATGAAGGTAGGTCACGGGAGCCCTGGCAGGTCGAGACAGGGATTTACTTAGAAAACTGTTCTGAGGACCAGGCATGGTGGCTCACGCCTGTAATCCCAGCACTTTGGGAGGCTGAGGCAGGCGGATCAAGAGGTCAGGAGATCGAGACCAGTCTGACCAACATGGTGAAACCCTGTCTCTACTAAAAATACAAAAAATTAGCCAGGCGTGGTGGTGGGCGCCTGTAGTCCCAGCTACTCGGGAGGCTGAAGCAGGAGAATCGCTTGGACCAGGAGGTGGAGGTTGCAGTGAGCCGAGATCATGCCACTGTGCTCCAGCCTGGCGACAGAGCGAAACTCATCTCAAAAGAAAACACACACACAAAACAAACACAAAAAACAAAACAAAACAAAAAAAACCAACACACACACATACACACAAACAAACTGTTCTGAGTCTTCCACGGCTTGTGAATGAAAAATAAATTTGCACGGCTTAAAGCCCCGCTCAGATGACTTTGATCTTGAAGACTTTCAGAGCAGCAGTTAGCAGTTGCCTACCACTATCATAGAAAAACATTAACGCACCCATGAAAAGCTGGAATTTGAGAACGTAACTTCCAAATCAACCCACTAAAATGAATAGGTTGCAAATGAACCTCTCAGTGAATACATTAGTTTACTTACTGGATGTAGACTAACTAAATCTGGGCAAATTACCTGCCAAAATTAGGGAGAAAGCTATTCAAAGCAAAATGGGGCCAGCTCACTCCTGTAATCCCAGCACTTTGTGAGGCCGAGGCGGGTGGATCACGAGGTCAGGAGATCAAGACCATCCCGGCTAACATGGTGAAACCCTGTCTCTACTAAAAATACAAAAAATTAGCCGTGCGTGGTGGCGGGTGCCTGTAGTCTCAGCTACTTGGGAGGCTGAGTCAGGAGAATCACTTGAACCTGGAAGGTGGAGGTTGCAGTGAGCTGAGATCATACCACTGTACTCCAGCCTGGGCGACAGAGCAAGACTCCGTCTCAAAAAAAAAAAAAAGCAAAATGGGAATTTGGGGCCCTTGTTTAGATTGTAATATAGTTAGGCCCTTTCTATGATCCTTCTTTAGATGGGTACTCCAGACTTTAGAGAAGAGACTGCTGTCTTCTCAACTCTTATCACGGAAGTCCTAACTATGAGTCATCCCTATGAGTTGGACTGATGATATAGGGTGATTCAGAAGAATAAGATAATTTGAGGATCTCTTAATTTCTTTTAAGGGCTTTATGTTATCCAAGGATCCTTCGAATTTTCATACTGAGCACATAATAGATCTAATAATCATGGCTACTATTAGTAAGTACTTGTGTGTGCTGTGTGGTGGTCTACCGGATTGTTTCACTTCATCTTCACAGTATCCCTCTTCCTCCACTCATTCATTTCTTCCATTCAGCAAATATTAGGCACCCACGCTGTGTCAGGCCTGGGCTAGCACTGGGAATAACATGAACAACAAAATCGGCCAGGTTGCCACTCTCATGGGGCTTACGGTGGCAGGACAGGAGGGTGGAAGACAAACATCAAACAAACTAACACACATGTCATTTCCAACACCGTGACAAACGCGGTGAAAGAAAAGCACAAGGTGCTGTCACAGAGTAGGATAATGGGAGTAATGCTGAACTGGGGAGGAGGGCAAGCCCTTCTGGGGAGACGACACTTAGGCTGAGACCTGGAGGTTGAATGGGGCTTTGCATGCACTGACTCTGCCTGGAGAGAAAAGCATCATAGGCTGTACTTGAAATGGAAACAAGTCCAATCTTCCAATAAGCTGGATGCCCATAGAACTGAAGCTTGAGAAACTTACCTTTGCACTATAAGACACATCTGCTGCCTGTTGACCAACTTCCTTACTACTCCCTAATTCCTGATTTCCTACAAGTACCTACCATGAGAGGCTAGAGCCCCCTCCCCCAACCCATTCAACCACCTCCTACCTGTTAACCAACTCCTCCTCCTTGCCCTGCCTGTTTTTCTTCCTGGCTGTATAAACCCCTGACGTTAGTTGGGAGGGAGGGATGGATTTGAGGTTTGGCTCTGGATTCTACAGCTGGTATCATCCATAATACATTAGAGCCTTCTTCCCTGGCAATACTTTTTGTCTCAGTATTAGCTTTCTGAGCAGTAAGCAAGGTGACCTAGACTGAACCCCTGGTGTTTAGTAACAAACTCACACATGAAATATATTTTTAGTTGATTAGAAAGGGATAATAATTACCACTGTATGCACCTGTGCTAAGCATTTTTTTTTTTTTTAAGAGACAGGATGCCGCTCTGTAGCCCAGGCTGGAGTGCAGTGGTACAATCATAGTTCATTGCAGCCTGCTCCAACTCCTGGACTCAAAAGATCCTCCCACCCCAGCATCCCAAGTAGCTAGGACTACAGGCGTGCACCACCACACCCATCTAATTTTTAAAATTTTTTGTGGAGATGGAGGTCTCATTGTGTTGCCCCGGCCGGTCTCAAGCTCCCTGGCTCAAGCAATCCCCCTGCCTCGGCCTTCCAAAGTGAGCCACTGCACCGGGCCACTATAAGCATCTCACATACACCATCTCACCAAACACGAAAACGGCAAGGTTGACATTAACACTACTGGCACTACTTTCACAACCACAGACTTGGATGTGAAGAAATGTCCCTTCATAATTTCTCCACAATTAAAAATAACTCCATTTCCTAGGTCGTGAGGTCGAAAATATTCAGTCCTACCAATTCAGAACTCAGTTTCTCAGGAGTCCCTTCCTCCGACGCTTCCTCGTCTCCCTGGAGGTGATGGCAGCCCTCTGGGGAGGGCGGATGGTTCCTGCTCCTGCCACAGGGAAGGAGCACCCGGTCCTCTGGCTTCCTCTGCTGGCTTCTGTGAAATCTGTTTCTTGCTGGTCCTCACAGTCATGCATTGCCTCCTTGCCGAGATCCTACGTCCTGGCGTGGGCTCCTGCTCGCGTGGCGCTCCCCTGCTGCATCTTGGTCCCCCAGAGCTGATGTGGTCCCCTTGGGGCGAGCTAGTTCTGCGCCCTGAGAGCCACATCTCACTTTTCTCACGCTCTGTCTGGAGGCCCCCCGCCCCAGGTGACTTGCCAGCCACCGTCAGCTGGATTCAGTCAGTGGGATGCCCTGCGGGGAGGTGGGGGCAGGAGGAATGGGGGAGCCAGCTGATGTCATCCATTCTCACCCAGTCTCTTGGCTTCTCAGGCAGCACCTGCAGGACCTCCACAGCCCCCGCAGCACCCGCCTCCCTCCCAGCCCTCCCAAGGGGCCATGGGGATTTCGGGTGTTACTAAGCTCTGGGGCCCGTCTCGTTCCCTGTGCAGCCTTTTGGCTCTTCCATCGTCTGTAGAACTGAAACAGCGCATCCAACTCCCTAAAGTGGGTTATGGTTTCCTGATGCGAAGCTGCCTGATAGAAAGTCGCAGGACACTTAGCAGCTCCTGCCCTCGGCCCACCCCCCCGCCACGCCTCGCCGTTCCTGTTTGTTGTGGGGTCTCACCCACTCCCTGGGAAGCCCCCAGTAGCCTTTCTGCTCCGGGGTCCCTCCAGGCTTCTTTTCTACAGCTCCTCGGAGACCCTGGGCCTTCCAGCCCTGGCCTCCCCCGCGCGGCTGCTCGAGCACGTATCTCTTCTTGGATGGAAAACGGCTCCTTATCATCGTGCATTTTTCTACCCATGACTTCCCTCACAAACTGGGCAGCATCCAGGAGGCTC
Organism: Homo sapiens; assembly: GCF_000001405.40. Taxonomy (NCBI): domain Eukaryota; kingdom Metazoa; phylum Chordata; class Mammalia; order Primates; family Hominidae; genus Homo; species Homo sapiens. The sequence continues at coordinate 159,836,456 of NC_000006.12, read as the reverse complement.
TGCTGGGGATATGCCATGCCAAGTTTTCAGCATTGTGAAAAACATGAAGTAAAACCTCTCTCAAGAGTCAGCTTTGCAAATCAAAAGCACTCTGGCTTTCATACAGTTGCCTCTGTTCTGTCTTCCAAAATCCTACATAGATTAAACTCAGAAGCCAAGAATTTGACTTTTTGGTAGAGGCTATAGCCTACCATCCCCCTGGGACAGTTAATATTCCTGATTATGGTGGATAAAGAGCTGTGATAGGAGGAGCAGGAACCTCAGCTTTAAAATCTCCAAAATGGCCAGGCGCGGTGACTCACGTCTGTAATCCCAGCACTTTGGGAGGCCGAGGCGGGTGGATCACCTGAGGTCAGGAGTTCTAGACAAGCCTGGCCAACATGGTGAAACCCTGCCTCTACTAAAAACTAAAATAATAATAATAATAATAATAGAAAAATAAAATCTCCAAAATGTATCCTGTTACATTATTGCCATTTTACAAATAAAGAAATAAAGTTTTTCTTCTCTTGCCAACTGACTACTGGCAAATCAACAACCATTTTCTTTAATGTTTGAGCAAATTGTATCCCAATTCCTGTCTTGATAAAGACAGTTGGGCATTCAAGAAAATTCCTGGCCAATGGCAATGAAATTGAGAAGAAAACAGACTGCCCGGGGCCTTCTCAGATACAAATCTCATGTATTAGCATTATGTGAAGATCCATTGATATATTCCTTCTCTCATGTGCTGTTTACCGTAGGCTCCCCCTACCCCATCTGGGCAGCCAGGCAGGAGAGCAGCCATGGGATAATAAAGTGGATTATTCCATATTGAAGGCCTTTTTGGACAATTGTATGGTGGCCTTGAAATGTACTTTCTCATTTAGACGTGGTGAGCAATGGGCGAACCAGAGAAACAAAGAAATCAGTTATTGGCTTTTAAGCTAAAAATAAAACAGGAAAGATTTGCAAGTCTGTCCTATTCAACAAAGCTGCTTTCCCTCCTCCTCTCCTCCAGGCCTCTTGGCTTCTCAGGCAGCACCTGCAGCACCTCCACTTCAGGTGGAGGAAAAAGGAGCCAGGAAAGAGTTAGGAAAACTTGGGTTTTTGTCTGTTGCTGGATCCCTGGCATTGGGCAGGGAAGGAGTGAGAATGAAGATAGGTGCCTCCAGGCCTCGCAATAACGATGGGAACCAGTTTAAAGGGGAGGTGAGAGACTGAAGTGTGAACTGGTAAGTGAACAAAAACAACAAAGAGAATGCTAGAGGGAAATTGCAAAGCTACATATAGACTGATTAGTGTCCTATAGGACAATAAAACCACAGGTTTTGGGGTTATCCTCTCCTATGAGCAAGAACTATTTTCGTTGTTATTGGACAAGAATTATTTGCATCTTATCAGTTTTCAAAAAGTGAACACCTAACTTTACAGGATTGTAAAATGTTTGGCCTCTAATCGGTAGAAACTAATAAGCCAATCAAAGTTACATTGGCTTAAAATAAAACGACTCCAGGTGAGCTTGTTAGTATGACAATGAAAGTCATGTGGGTTGGGCGCAGTGGCTCACACCTGCAATCCTAGCACTTTGGGAAGCTGAAGTGCGAGGATTGCTTGAGGCCAGGAGTTTGAGTCCAGGGGTTCAAGGACAGCCTGGGCAACATAGACCTCATCTCTACAAAAAAAAAAAAAAAACCTAAAAAATTAGATGGGCATTGTAACGTACATCTGTGGTCCCAGCTACTTGGGAGGCTGAGATGGGAGGATTGCTTGAGCCCAAGAGTTTGAGGCTGCAGTGAGCTACAGTTGTGCCCCACTGCATTTCAGCCTGGGTAACAAGGCAAGAACCTGTCTCCAGAAAAAAAAAAAGAAAAGAAAAAAAAAGTCATGTGGCTTGTTTTTGCCTGACATCCACATTTTGGATAATTTTTTTCTTAATAGATTCTCACGCAGAGCGTACCTGTCACCTGGTTGGTCTTTCTAGAACTCAGGTAGTTGACATGGCAGCCTCACCAGGGTCCCTCATGTGACATTCACAGAGAGGCTACAAGAGGTATCCAGAGTGAGCTGTAGGGGTGTGCAGGAAGCCAGACAGCCCTTCCACCTGCCACAGGAAATGGTGGGGGGTGAGGGAGGGGTGGGGGGCGGCAGTGGGGAGGAGGGGAAGAAGAGAGAATATGAGGGATCTGAAGCACCTTTGGGGGCCTTTCAGCTGAGATAAGGGCAGCCAGTGGCAGAGATTGGGTGGCCCATCGCCACAGAGATCCCAGAGGAAGCCCCTGCCTCCCAGCCCATGTACAGGTGGGAGCATATGAAGGCCACCCAGGTAAGTCACACCTCAAAGGCTACTGGCTTAGAATCAGGACAGAGAGAAGTCCAAACTGACCCCCCACCGCTCTCCCCCAACTTCATGCCCTTTGCATCTGCCTCTCAGAGCTTAGCCTCTGTCTTAGGGTAGGGAGGAGGGTGGACACCAAAGGGAAACAGCCCTGAATGGGCAGCGTTTATCTGGTATTGCCTAAATTATGGGTTCTGCTTGGGCAGAATGGGAGCTTGCAGCAAGGAATTAAATTGAGTTAAAGGAACTTACATGTGCACATTTGAGCTCATGGTTTGTGAATTCATTTTGGCTGTATTTATAACCCTTTAAATCTCTAGAGTGAAGCTTTGTGGAGGTTCTCAGACTGGCCACTAGAACAAGCAGTGAGGCAAATTTCAGAATGTGCTTCCCATGGTAGAAATCTGGTGAGCAGGATCGTGGAAGCTTGGACTCTGACTAACCGCTGGAGAATTGCAGCTCCAATTTTTATAGAGCTGGACTTCCTAAGTGCCAGGGCCCTCTCCAATTAGGTCCTCAGATAGAACTGATTGAAATCTTATATTAAATATAAGTACTTTGGCTGGGCATGATGACTTGAGCCCATAATCCCAGCTCCTTGGCAGGCTGAGGCAGGAGGACTGTTTGAGGCCAGGAGTTTGAGACTAGCCTGGGCAACATGGCAAGATTCCATTTCTAAATTTTTTTCAAAATTAATAGGGAGCAGTGGTGGGTGCCAGTAGTCCCAACTACTAAGGAGGCTGAGGCAGGGAGATCACTTGAGCCCAGGAGTTGAAGACTGCAGTGAGCTATGATCATGCCCCTGCACTCCAGCCTGGGCAACAGATTGAGACCCTGTCTCTAATAAAATAAGTGAATAAATACTTTGAATGCTTTTTTCATGCTAGGAGTGTCCAACTCTGCCTTCTGATAGGCTCCACTTGTTTCCTGCCTGCTTGCGCTGATTAGGCATGATGAGTGTGCTTTATGCTGCAGAGGGCCTTCCTTCCCTTACTGCCAGCCAAAGAAGAGAGACACCACCTGTGAAGTATGTGCAATTTCACCCGCCAGTTAAACCTCTTTTCTGCTCCACCCAAAAAATAGCTGAAGGGAAGACGGCCAGGATTGAGGGTGTCCCTTTCAGGAGGTAGCGTCAGACTTCATCAGATCTTGAAGACATTGTGCCTACAGGTCTGGGTGTGGCTAACCATGGACCAGCCTCCAAGGCTTCTCATAAATCCCTGTCAAACTCCTCATGTTGACGTTGAACCCAGGGAAATTACTAGAGCAAACGGTCTCCAAACTATTTCAATCCTATTTCCTTATCACTGAAACAAAGCTGAGGACAAACCCTGGCTGTGCACATGTATTAATAATGTACATACATGTATTCCATGTACTAATATATTGCATATATGATAAAACACACAAAATAAGAAAATTACTATTATTATATTTTTAGACATGGAGTCTCCTTATGTTGCCCAGGCTGATCTCGAACTCCTGGGCTCAAGCAATCCTCCTGCCTCAGCCTCCCAAAGTGTTGGGATTACAGGTGTGAACCATTGTGCCCACAAAATAGGAAATTTAAAGGGAGGGGTGTGCATTGTTAGGGAACCCAGGCACCCTGGCCCTCAGCCTGGCCCTGCAGCTCTGGATGAGGCTCTCATCTCCTTCTTCCACCTTTCTGCTTTCCCTAATCCCCAATAAAGGAGAAACAACAGCATTGTGTCATTCACAGGCACAGAGATAAAACAATTTAGATACAACCAGATGGCAACTCTGATGCATGACAGGTGAAGCCCAAAATTGGGACTTAGCCCGGAAGGGTTCTTGGCTTCCCCCAGGAAAGAATTCAAGAGCTACCCAGTGGTGTTCAACAGCAACTTGTATTGAAGCCACAGCATCCAGGAGCAGCAGAGGCACTGCTCCTTGCGGTACAGGGCACTCTCCAGGAAGTGTGTCCAGAGGAGCAGCTCAGATTTAGGGCTGCACTAATATTTACACCCACTTTTAATTATACATGAATTAGGGGGTGGTTTATGCAGAAATTTCTAGGATGAGGGTGGTAACTTCCTGATCACTGGGTCATTGCCATGGAAAGGCGCAATAATTTTTGGGTGTCGCCATGGCAATGGTAAACTGACATGGCACACTGATGGGTGTGTTTTCTGGAAAACTGCTTCCCCTATAACCTGTTTTAGCTAGTCCTCAGTTTGGCCCGGTGTCTGAGCCCTGCCTCCGGAGTCAAGTCCCACCTTCTACCTCAACTCCACACCTTGGCTCAGGCCAAAACTTTATCATTCTTGACCCCTCTTTCTCTTAACTCCACATTCACTCTGTCAGGACATCATAGCAGCTCCACTGTCAAAATACACCCAGATCTAGAGCCCCTGCACACCTCCCCACTGGGCCACAGCCACCTCTTTTGCCTTCCTCCTTCCCTAGTCAGCCAGACCTTATCACCCTGAGCTGGCAGCCCCTCAATGGCTCACACCTCTGCTGAGAAGTCAAAGCAATCACCAGTGCCTTCTGTGCCCCACCTGACCGGCCCTCCACTTCTTCCCTGGCCTTGGCTCCTGCCTCACCCACCCAAGTTCTCTCAGCCATCCTGGTGGCTGGAGCCTCTTTGCAGGGCCAGGTGCTTCCACTGGGCCCTGGGCCAGACAGCACCTGGAGCTCTGTCCACAGCCGGGCAGGTGTCTCAGCCCTGATCTCTGCCAGGTCTCTGCTCAGGCATCCCCTTCTCTGCGCACCCTGCCTGAGCACTGGAAGGCAGCACCCGACTTCTCCTCCAAGTTTCTCTGTAACCAGCACTTGATCACCTCACAGGCACTCTCATCTCGTTGCTTGTCTAATGACTCCACACAAATGCAAATTCCTGAATCTTTGCTTTAATGGCTGCAGCCGGGGCATCTGGAACAGTGCCTGGTACAGAGCAGGTACATTTGCATGGAATGAAAGCCTGCGCTCCAGGGTCTTCCAGTATAAAACACATGCAGATTTTAGAGACAGGAACAAGCCCAAATTGATCAATAAGGGAATGGGAGAATGAGTGCTTCCCTTCCTTTTCTGTTTTACACAATACAATATTCCTTTTTTAGTCTTTAAAAAACTATAACCTCTGGCTTCCAGGAGTTCAGAACATCCCATCTGACTACGAGCACAGGTCTCAGCAGGGTCACGCAGGCAGTGGCCACTGCTGCTGCTCCACTGGGCTGAGGACACGGCCTCAGCAGCGAGGAAGGTTTGGGCAGCTCCCTGGGATGGGAAAGAAAGCATCTTTACAAGCTCACATGTCAAAGCCTCTGTGCCCTCCACAAACCCAGCCAGAGCCAACTTGAGAACAACTTTATCTGGCTTGTGCTGCCCAGAGAATACTTGTTTTTGGATCTCCACTTTCTCACGATCTTTGGCAGAGCCACATCACACACTGGGGGAGCTCTTCTGAGGATTAGGACTAAGTCTACACCAGGGATTCTCTCCCAGGGGAGAGTAGGGACAGAGTAGGCAGCTGTGTGCCAGAGAGCTCTCCTACTATCTTGCGCTCAGAGCAGGCTCGGCCCGCAGTTCCCCTCACAGTGTCTTCCTCAGAAACACTATTGCCAGCAGGCAAATGTTTGAATCTGGTTCTTCCTGTAGGAAAAAGGGATAAAGGCAAACAATAGCAAGAGCTGGGGCAGGGATGGGGCAGAATGAGGGACCTCTAGGGGAGCTTCCGAATGCTGAAATCGGGTGAAGCCATCCAGCACCGCGGCAGAGCTTCCAGAACAGCGACGCAGGAGACTGGGTGGATGGTGGGTGCTGGGTCACCGTGGTGGCCACGCAGTCTGCAAGGCCTGTAACCAGCTCAGCCGCATCAGACCCTGCTTCCTGGGCAGGGCTAACCCCACTCACTGCGCAGGGCTAACCCCACTCACTGGGGAGTATGAGGTAGGAATAGCACTTACCTGGGCAGGTGCTTCATCAGTGTGTCGCTGGAGAATGTGGCAGGCAGAATAATGGCTCCCCAAAGATGCCCAGTGCCCACAGCCTAACCCCAGAACCTGTGAGTATAGCACCTGATGTGGCAAGAGGGACTCTACAGACATAATTAAGGGCTTTGAGATGGGGAGTTTATCCAGGGTCATCCGAGGAGGAGGGTCCGCCTAATCACATGGGTCTTAAAGCATGGCAAAGCATTCCCTGCTGTGGTCAGAGGAGACGAAGCTACAGAAAGATCGATCAGAGAGATTCCACATTGCTGCTGCTGAAGATGGAGGAACAGGGCCACGATCCTGGGAATGTTGGTGACCTCTAGAAGCTGGAAAAGGGGAGGAAGCAGCTTCTCTCTGAGGCCTCTGGAAGGGCACACAGCCCTTCCGCCCCGACTTCTTGATTTTAGCCCCGAGAGCTGTGTTGGACTTCTAACCTCCAGAAATGCAAAATGGTAATTGTGTGCTATTTTAAGCCACTACATTTGTGATGACTTGTTACAGCAGGAAACAGGAAACTAATGTAAAGAAGTAGGCATGACTGTGTCCAGTAAAATGCAATTAAATAAGAACTAAAGATATTTCACAGGGCTGTCCCCACAAGCAGGACAAGAGAGCTCTATTTTCAACAAAAAAATTTTAATGCATTTTCATGTTTAAAGTGATAGAAATACATGCTCATTGTAAAAAAAAAAATGGTAAAAAGATCCCTAAATATACAGAAAATAAAACCATATGGTCCACCTACTCTGGGTAGCCCCCACCAAGACTTCTGTGCGTTTTCTTTCAGCTTTAAGTTCACTTTTTTTTTTCTTTTCTTTTTTTTTTTTGGAGACAGGGTCTCACTCTGTCAGGCTAGAGTACAGTGGTGCGTGATCTTGGCTCACTGCAACCTCTACCTCCCAGGCTCAAGTGGTCCTCCCACCTCATTCTCCTGAGTAGCTGGGACCACAGGTGGGTACCATGATGCCCGGCTAACTTTTTGTATTTTTGGTAGAGATGGGGTTTTGCCATGTTGCCCAGCCTGGGATGGAACTCCTGAGCTCAGGCAATCCAACTGCCTCAGCCTAAATGCTGGAATTACATGTGTGAGCCACTGTGCCTGGCCTTTAAGTTCACTTTCATTTTTTATTTTTTGAGATGGAGTTTCACTCGTCGCCCAGGTTGGAGAGCAGTGGCGCGATCTCAGCTCACTACAGCCTCCGCCTCCTGAATTCAAGTGATTCTCCTGCTTCAGCCTCCTGAGTAGCTGGGATGACAGGCACTCACCACCACACCCAGCTAATTTTTGTGTTTTTCTTTAGTAGATACGGGGTTTCACCATGTTGGCCAAGCTGGTCTTGAACTCCTGACCTCAGGTGATCTACCTGCCACGGCCTCCCAAAGTGCTGAGATTACAGGCGTGAGCTACCACGCATGGCCGATTTCACTTTTAAAATATAACTGTCATCACTCAGATGCTAAGTTCTATGTACTAATTTTTTAAAAATAGTACATTTCTGGTTTTGAAGGGATGCACACTCAAGATTTTTATAGTACAGAAAAATATATGACAAAGAAATTCGAAATCACCAGGAGCCCCTCGAGAGATAACATTTTAACATATTTTATTAGTCTTTTTAAAGGATAACTGAGAATACCTTATATAGTACACCTTTTCTTGCCTACACAGGAATAATCACAGGTGTTAGAAGAGGGGAGAGATGATTGATTACAGGTTATTAGTGTTTCCTGCCAACCACCACCATCCCCCAGATTCCATCACAGAACAACAGTCCGAGTTATTTAAAGGTCAGCAATCCAAAGATCCAGATCACTCGAGTTCTTTGGCCATAAAAACAGGCAGCAGATGATGCTTGATATGGTTTGGCTCTTTGCCCCACCTAAGTGTCACGTGGAATTGGAATCCCCAGTGTTGGGGGAGGGGCCTGGTGGGAGACGATTGGATCCTGGGGGTGAACGGCCCCCTGCTGCTCTTGTGCTAGTGAGTTCTCTGGTTGTTTAAAGGAGTGTGGCACCTCCCCCTTCTGTCTTCCTCCTGCTCCAGCCATGTAAGATGTGCGGGCTTCCCCTTCGCCTTCTGCCATGATTTTGTTTCCTGAGGCCTCCCCAGCCATGTTACCAGTACAGTCTAGGGAACCGTGAGTCAAACCTCTTTTCTTTATAAATTACCCAGTCTCAGGTATTTTTTTTTCTTTTTTTTTTTTTTTTTTTGAGAGAATCTTACTCTGTCGCCCAGACTGGAGTGTAGTGGCATGATCGCAGCTCACTGCAATGTCCGCCTCCTGGGTTCAAGTGATTCTCCTGCCTCAGCCTCCTAAGTAGCTGGGATTATAGGCTCATGCCACCACGCCTGCTAATTTTTACATTTTTAGTAGAGACAGGGTTTCACCATGTTGGCCAGGCTGGTCTCGAACTCCTGACCTCAAGTAATCTGCATGCCTCGGCCTCCTAAAGTGCTGGGATTACAGGTGTGAGCCACCGTGCCTGGCAGGTATTTCTTTATAGCAGTGCAAGAAAGGACAAATACTCTATAGCTCTGTTCCTATGGAGAAGAGAAACAGTCTTTTGAGAACCACTCCTCCCTCCATACCTGGAGTGCTGCAGCAGCTCAGCACCAACTGTGGTTTCAAGAGCTGGACGAGTCTCAAGATGACAGGTGGGACACAAGAGCCACATGGCTGCAGCTGGAACAGAAGCCGCAGCCAAAGAGCAGCCTGGGAGAGCCCCAGGGCCCCACTCCGCCAGGAGGCGCCGGGGCTGAGCCTGAGCCTGAGGCACGAGCTGCAGTCCTGTGGATGCTGCCCGACTTGCCTTGTTTTTTTAAACCAGTTTGAAATTACACCATATATATTCACGATAGACAACTCCAATATAAAACAAAAAAAAAAAAAAAAGAAAATTGAAATAACTCATGACCCTGCAGGCAGTGTGGCATCAAGAGAAGCTGCCCACCGCTGGCCGGGGCGTGCCAAGGCCAAGCACCCGCCCTGTGGGTGTCAGGCGTCTCCGTCCTATGCGGGCACAGTGACAGTACTTGGAAGGTCACTGGGCAGTGAGAGTACTTACTTGGAAGGTTACTGTGAGGAGCACATGAATTAATAACTGCAAAGGACTTTATTCAGCATCGGGTGTGCAGTAATTGCTCAGCAATGTCATTCCCTAACATTTTGGGGTGCACCTTCTCAGGTTTTTCCAGTGTACTCATGACCACACTGTATGTGGTTGATACAGTTTGGATATTTGTCCCCCCTCAAATTTCATGTTGAATTATAATCCCCAATGCTGAAGGTGGGGGTCTAGTGGGAGGTGTCCGGCTCACGGGGCCAGAGTTCTCATGAACAGCCTGGGCCATCCCTTGGGTGATGAGTGAGCTCTGGCTCTGAGTTCACCCGAGATCTGGTTGTTTAGAAGTGTGTGGCACTTTCCCCTTCCGCCCCCTCTCTTTCTCCTGCATCCACTATCTGAAGCCTGTTCCTGCTTCACCTTCCGTCATGAGTAAAAGCTTCCTGAGGCCTCCCCAGAAGCAGATGCTAGCACCACACTTCCTGTACAGCCTGCAGAACTGTGAGCCAATCAAACCTCTTTTCCTACAAATTACCCAGTCTTGGGTATTTCTTTATAGCAGTGGGAGAACAGACTAACACAGTGGTTTTCCTGTGCTCATGACAAAAACATCCTCCCTGTCGCTCATCCTTAGGAATTGTTCTGGATTAGGTGCCCTTGGCGGGGACGCCCCAGCCCCTCCCTAGCCAGGACATGCTGACCTTTACAGCCATTGCTTGTGTACTGTCGCCCCACTAGACAGTGGGCAGGGACTGGGCCAGCCCCAGGCCCTCAGTGGTGCTGCCAGCCCACATGAGCAGGAGGCACCCCGCTCTGGAGAGAAGCTGCATTGTAGGGAAGGCACACTGGGGAGTTAGGGACACAAATCTACCTCTCTACATTATGATAAGCACTTGAAAGTACCAGGGGACAGAGGAGGGCCGATGGCTCTAACCGACGTGAGGAGGCGCAGGAGAGGACGAGAGTCTGCAGACCACCCGGCCCCAGCGCCGGCTCCTGCCTCTCGTCCACCACCACCAGCAGCATCCTCGTAACCCCCTCAGGGTAAACCGCCAAAAACTAGAGTAGCAGTTGCAGTGGCAGCAGCAAGGCCACCCCAGTTTTGCCAAAACTGTCCTGCAACTAACCCACCGTGACAATGCTTGCTTCCCATGTTCAAGTAGTTTTGGGTGGTTTTTAGATTTTTGGTTGTAAGTAAGCGTATTTTTCTGTATTTCACCCATTCCAAGACGCACTTTCCCTCCATTTCAACATCTTTGAGATCAGGGTGTATCTTAGGATGAGGGACAAAAACCTCCCCGGCAGCATTTATCCCTTAGTGGAACACAAAACAGTGGTCACTCTCCAGTGAAGGATGTCTCAGACAACATGAGACATGGTTGCACCAAATCAATCAACTATTTAATTACCACTTGAAGCTTTTGTTTCATGCTTAGAAAGCCCTTCTTCATCCCAAGATTAAATCGTTTTCATTTCCTTTTATATGATTTGCCTTTCTTAACCTTAAATATATGACATGTCTAATTTATTTTGGTGTAAGGACTAAAGAATTGGCTTTTTTTTTCTAAACGGCTCTTTGTCCCAGATTTAATATGGTACCTTTATCACAGCAAAATTCCCAGATGCACTCAGTCTATTTCTTACCTAGATTCTATTACTATGCCAATCTCACAATGTATTAATTATAACTTTACGCCATAGTCTCATCAACATGCAATTACAAAGGCACCAATTTTGTGCACATTAAGAAAACACCAATTAAATTAACACACACCATTGACTGTAAGAAATAACCCAATCTCAACGATGTGAAAATGGTAGAAAATGCACAGCTTGGATCAATGTACTCCCATACGGCAGGTGGGACAAGTCATCTTGGTCACTTATCTTTTTCAGAAGTTTCCTGATTGTTATATTTTCCCAAATAATTTTTTTTTTTTTTTGAGATAGAGTCTCACTCTCTTGCCCAGGCTGGAATGCAGTGGCACGATCTCGGCTCACTGCAACCTTTGCCTCCCGGGTTCAAGCGATTCTCCGGCCTCAGCCTCCTGAGTAGTTGGGAGCACAGGCATGCCCGCGCCTGGCTAATTTTTATTTTTATATTTATTTATTTATTTTTGAGATGGAGTTTCTCTGTTGTTGCCCAGGCTGGAGTGCAATGGTGCGATCTCGGCTCATTGCAACCTCTGCCTCTTGGGTTCATCACGTGATTCTCCTGCCTCAGCCCCCTCAAGTAGCTGGGATTACAGGTGCCCGCCACCATGCCTGGCTAATTTTTTGTATTTTTGTAGAGACAGGGTTTTACCATGTTGGCCAGGCTGGTCTCGAACTCCTGACTGCAGGTGATCCACCCACCTCGGCCTCCCAAAGTGCTGGGATTACAGATGTGAGCCACTCCACCTTGCTTCCAGCTAATTTTTGTATTTTTTGGTGGAGATAGGGGCTCAACATGTTGCCCAGGCTGGTCTCGAACTCCTGACCTCATGTGATCCGCCCACCTCAGCCTACCAGAGTGCTGGGATTACAAACGTGAGCCACCATGCCTGGCCCCAGATAATTTTTAATTTGGCAAGTCACCACCATACAAAAAAATGAGGTTTTAATTAGTCTTACAGTGGATTTTCAGACAAACTTATAGAAAATTACACAAAGGATTTTAGTGGTTAGAAAGTAACAGCCTTTTTTTCCCCTTAGAAAGTATCTCAAAATTTACAACCTCTACCACATACTTCATGCCAAGAAAATTAGTATTGCTGTCTCATGAGCTAAAAAGACCACAGAGAAAGAGAAAAGCTTTCTGTAGTAACAATAAATGATATGAACCTCTGTATCTTTCAGAGAAAAGGAAAGATACTTGCTATGGACTGAATGTTTGTGTTTCCCCCAAATTCCCAGGTTGAAATCCTAACCCCTAAGGGGATGGTCTTAGGTGAGGCCTTTTGGGAGGTGATGAGGTGATGAGGGTGGGGCCCTCTTATTGGATTAGTGCCCTTACAAGAAGAGAAGTGAGAGAGATGTTCGCTGTCTCTGCCACGCCAGGATGCAGCAAGAAGGCAGCCCTCCACAAGCCCAGGAAGAGAGCACTCTCCAGGAGCCAGTTCAGCTGGCGCCAGCTCTCAGAGTTCCCAGCCTCCAGAACTGTGAGAAATAAGATTCTGTTTTTTAAGCCACCCTGTCTATGGTATTTTTGTTACGGCAGCCTGAACTTAGTACCTGAAGGATGTAAAGAGAAAGATTAGCTAATTTTAAGATCATTTAAGGCTATTTCTAGTCACTTTCTTTCTCATACCAAAAATCTCACAGAAATAATTTAAACCACAAACAAGAACCAAAATTGTAAGAACAAGGACATGAAATCACATCACTTCTAAGTGATCAGGTCGTGTGGGTCAGTGAGAACACCCTGGGCTGGGCAGATTCGGAGGCTGCCATTTGTCTTTTCCCTCTGCTGCAGAAGCACATCAGTTACTCAAGGCCATTTTCAAAGCACCTCACCTGAGCAGCAGCAACAAACTCAAATCCCTGTCGAAAAACACAGCAGAGCCTCCAGCCATGGGGAGCACTGGCTTGTGAGGATACTGAGGGCCCCTGCAGGTTCCAGAACTCCACTGCCCACCTGTGCAGGGCCAGGCCAGGGGACACTGCCACACAGCACCAAGTGCTCTAGCAGGGACAGGCAAGAGGCACTCAGACAGGTTGAGCCCCCGACACCTGACAGGTACAGCAGGCAACAGTGACCTAGAACCTAGAGGAGATGTCCACTGAGCTGGGTCAAGTGGTGAGTGGCTCAGAGAAGAGGAAGAGAAACAGTGATCCCAAGGACAGACACCCGTGGGGGACCAGAGACACAGCAGGGCCCCAAATACAGAGAGAAAGGGCTTGTGGACTTGGGGCAGAATCCACAGAAGGAGCTTGGGCAGGAGAGATGACCAGATTTGCCTTCTGGAGCCCACTTATGTCCGTGAGGGCCACAGCAGAAAAGGGAGAAGAGGAGGCAGGCAGGGCTCTCCCAGAACTGAGGAGACCCTGAAACTGTCTAGGTAATGTGAAGGGGGTCTGGACAGCCAGGAGAACTGCACGAAGACAGAAGCTGCCAGTGAGTGGCTGCTCAGAGGAGGGGCAGGGATCGGGGAGAGTCTAGGAGCTGCAAGTGAGTGGCTGCTCAGAGGCGGGGCAGGGAGGTGGGGAGAGTTTAGGAGCTGGAAGCTACAGCTGGGGAGGTGCTCACAACCTCCATCGAGGCAGGTGAGTTGGAGGGAAAGTGATCCATCCTGCCTGTGTGGAGCTTGGCGTGTCTGTGGGAAAATCTAGAGGCTCAGTAGGTGAACTGGGACCCAGGAGAGAGACGTTAGCTGAGAACAAACTTCAGAGTCATGCTGGGGCCCGGCACTGTCACGGCGGATGGTGCCAGGTCCTTGAACACCAACATCTAAAGGGCCAGGGGAAGAGTTGAGGGCAATCGAGAAGAGAGTGACCAGAGACTTGGGGAGAGCGTCCAGAGGAGCTGCACCACCCAGGGCCATGGAGGAGTGAGAGGGAAGCCAGGGAGCCCTAATGACTGGCTGGGCCCCGGGCAGCAGGGGCGAGAACGATGGAAAGCACGTGCTCGAAAGCCTGGGTGGAGAGGGAAAGACCAGCTGGGCCACAGGGAGAGGGGATAGAGTTAGGGAAGGAGAGAAGAATGGCTGGCTTTTTGCCTTGTTTCGGTTTTATTCATTTACTGATTGGAGGGAGACCTGCAGGTAAAACACAGCCTTGAAGAGCTAGGGGAGCGGGGAGAGCACCTTGGGAGAGACTCAGAGCCTGCCTCGTTCCCTCACCGCCATCTAGGCAGGGCAAGAGCTGCTAAGGGCAGGAGGCCCCGAACCACTCAGCATTTCTGAGCAGTGCCCTGGTCAGCAGCGCCTGAGCACTGCTCAGAAAGTAAACTTGATCTACAAAGCCTGGCTGTGGCACAGCTTCCAGCTCTTCCAGCTCAGGGCTGCCCTAGGCAACAGCAGGCACGACACAGGGCTGTGGGGTCAGCCAGGTCACCATGGACATGAGGACCCTGCCCATAGCATGGTGCACCGAAGGGCATGCACCAGGTGCCCAGTGAAGACACGCTGAACAGAGAAGAGGTGAATGAACAAGGCCTTATGAAAGTGCTGTGTGCCTCCAACTCCAGAGCACTGTGGAACAGCTTACAGCGCCCGGCCCTGCTCCACCGCTGGGATGCCAAACAGCCCTCAAGACAGGCAGCTGAGAGGGGCTCGCAAGAGTACTTAAAGCAGGGCTTACCCAAACACAGTCAAGCCCAAAGCCCATGAAAGAAAAGTGGAATTCTCCTCAGCGAAGTTACGTTCAACCAGCCTGGATTGGTGGCTCACGCCTGTAATCCCAGCACTCTGGGAGGCTGAGGCAGAAGGATGGCCTGAAGCCAGGAGTTCAAGATCAGCCTGGGCAACATAGGGAGACCCCATCACTACAAAAACAATTGTTTTAGATTAGTCATGTGTGGTGGCATGTATCCGTGGTGCCAGCTACTCGAGAGGCTGAGGTGGGAGGATTGCTTGAGCCCTGGAGGTAGAAGCTGCAGCCGCAGTGAGCCACAATTGTGCCACTGCACTGCAACCTGGGCGACAGAGACCCTGTCTCAAAACAAGTTACTTTCAATGAAAAAAAACCAACCAAACAAACAAACAAAATACCCAACACCCTGACACTCCCTTACAATGCGGTTTGAGCAGATGAGGAAACAGCTGCTGTTCCGAGTGTGGCGTGGCCGGTCAGATCATAAGTCGCAAAGGATCCTGTAGGGCCACCGGGCCCCTCACCCCTCAGGAAAGGGGTGCGACCTCTGGAAAGGCAGTTCCCAAACCCCCCTGTGGACAGCTACCACCACTAACGCTTGTTTCTCTAGAGGAAAAATGTCTCCCAGGCTAAATTTCAATCAGCTTTGCAGAGCCCACAAGTGAAGCTCCAGGTTGAGCAAAGAGCCCAGCCGAGTCGAGATCCCCACAGAGAAAAGTTACCGAGAAAGCTGAGTGTAGTGCAGACCACTGTGGAGGACACAGTGTCCCACTGTGCCAACGTCAAAGGTGCACACTGTGGCTGCGGGTCATTGTTTCTAAATGCACGTGGATGTCTTACGGTTTATAACACTTGTCAAAAATGTCCCCAGTGCACACGACTTCCCCTCTTCCAAGCTTCACATCCTTCCTTTACTAAACTTAGGAAGGCCATTTCTCAGAACTAAGTCAACAACAGCCAATAATAAGCCATTAGTTTTTCCCCCAGAAATAACGTCCCCTTTTCTTCATCTGGTGTCCAGCTCCTAGCACAATGACCTGCTCCTGAGACATTAGCTTAAATCTCGAGGTGCTGACTGCTCCGCCTGCATTTATAGCAAGAAAAGTTCTGACCACACATACAGGTACGATATCTAAGGACTGATTTATCATTGAGAGTGTTGACAGAATTTCACGTTCAGGACATAACAGAATTTCTAGAAAAGACCAAACAGATCCATCTGCAAACAGAATCTGATTTACACGAACACACCCAGCACACCTCCCAGAGAGCATGGGGACCCGAGGGTGGCCGCAGGAGGCCTCGCTGCACTCAGGTACCAGATCTTCCAAGGATGAACGCGAGAAGGGCCCAGGCAGTCACTATGCCACAGACTCTGCAAGACAATGACACGTGTCAGTGGCCGGGGCACCCAGCAGGCCGAGAGGCACCGACACAGGCTTGCCCCTCCTCCTTCCCAGCCCCGTGCACTCAGATGTTCTTTCTTGCTGTCACTCTCCCGACGACAACACTGAACTTCTGCCTCTCGAGGTTAGGCTGGCTCTGGGATGCAAACCGCAGGTTGAAAGAAAAAGGGTTTGCCTCGGAGCTCACTGTGCTTCCTCAGCAATGCTGTTTTCTAACGGATGTGCCCCTAACCCGCAAGCCAGAACCTCACCCAGCTCAACTGACAGCAACTCTGCCTTTCCAGCTGTTCAGGACTCAAACCCTGGATTCGTACTTGATCCTTCTCTGGTCTGTCGCTGACTCCACCCCGCTGCCCCTGGCTGCACCGAGCTGTGACCCAGCTGAAGCATCTCCTTCCTGACTGCTCTCACAGCGTCTCGCCTCCACAGTCTACCCCAACACGGAAGACAACCTGAGTCGGGTTATAGACCTTCTTGCTGTAACTTCCGCGATTCCCTCTCTCCTGAGAGAAGCCCACGTCCTCCCTGGGTGGCCCCCAGCTGGGGGGCACTGGTTCCTTCTCCTGCATCCCCCTCCTTGCTGTTTTGCTCACAATGGCCTCTCCCCGTGACACTCCGGGCACCTCCTGACTGGAAGGCTCCGTCCTGCTGCCCCCTCCGCCTGGCTCACTCCAAGTCTCTAATGAAGACCCCCATCAGCTCCTTTGAACTGCAGCCTGCCACCCACTCCTGACCCTTCTCTCATTTTTAATAAACACTTGTCACCCAACACATTATAGGGTCCATTTGTTTATCCTGTTTGTCTCCCCCAGCACGTGAGCTCCACGAGAGCAGGGATTTTCTGCTTCACTGACGAGGCCCTAGAACTACGATGGTGCCCAGCACAGCAGGTGCTCGACAGACACGCGGCATCACTGAAGGACATTCAGGGCACCACACTCGTCAACACAACCCCCTTGGCAACACACACCAGCAAGTGAGCTGTGCTCGAGTCAGACCATGCTGGGATGCTGGGACCCCGGGCACTCCAGGACCCCAGGACAGGCAGGTGGCCTCAGCCTGTCACTTACTGGAGCAGGCAGTTGACGTTTGGGGAGTGCCTCCAGTAGCGGTACAGGGAGATGCACAGGGTCGGGTGGTCCCGGTACTCCTTCAGGATGTTCCGCGCACTGCCAAAACAAGTTTGCTGTGGTCAGCCAGGCAGCAGGATGGCGCCGCCTGCTGTGATCAGGCGGGTGGAGTCAGAGAGATACAGGGATGAACGCACGAGGGGTGGGGGACGCGGACTTAGAGGCACCTACTCCTTAAACTTATTGGTCAGGAGTAAGAACTGGCTTCTTGTGAGTCGCCTGACATCAAACTTGCAGAGATTCTGAAACTTATGGTAGACTTGCTGCTCGCTGACCCCAGGCCACCTTTTGACGCTGAGGATGAGGATGGGAGGTCGGATACTGGGATAATCTGGACCAGAAAAATTCTAGAAAACATGCAGAACACAAGAGATTTTCCACAGTTCTTCCTGACTTCTTATCCAGTCTGAAGATCTCAAAAGAAACTAGGAAAGGCTCTGCTTGGGGCAGGGAGGGGAAGAGAAGGAAGGATGAGTCCATGTTGGCTTTAGTGGAGAAACATGAGAGGAAAGAAAAACCCAGCTCTCATCTCACCGACCACCGAAATCCCTCTCACGAGTCCCAGAGAGCACTGGCCGCTTCCCAGCAAAGCCTCTGAACTCTGAATGGGGCGAGGGGGCCAAATGAGATCTACTCACGATCTTTGGGACCCCCGCTCGGATGAGGTTCACTTGGTTCACGTAAGGAGCCAGCACGTCAAGGTACTGAGGAAAGGATGACTCGGGCACGGGGTCGATGCTGCAAGGACAGAAAACCCCAAAGCTGTCGGGCGCACAGAAGTTCATCCACTTCCTCGGCCACAGCCAAGAATCCGGTGACAGAACAGAAGGACACTCCCTCGGACGGCTCTCCCTCCCTCCTGCCCTCACAAGTCTTGGGGCTCTGGTTGGGTGCTTCCCCAGCTGGCAAGTCTAAAAGCATTCTCCGTGGCCACATAGAAGAAGAGCTTCCAGACAGTCACCATCTGCTGGTGATGGTTTGGTGAGGGTCCCACTGGTGACAAACAGCAATAGGCTCAGAGAATCAGTGCGAGGCCACTATTCAGAGAAAGCCCCATGCTGTCCCCCCTTGGTAAGACATCACCTTTGATTCCAAAAGGGCATCCCTCATCCCACAGCCTCCTCCCACTGCCAGTGCCCCCTCTGTCCAGGGAGCACACACACCTGAGCGCAGGGCCCCGGCAAAACCACGGGCCACACAGACAGGCAGGGAGGGCTTTTAGGCCATGAGGATTAAAAGAAATAAAAGATGTGTGACACCAGGCACTGAGGTGCCCCACCACTGCTAGCTCCTTCACTGTCCAGCACACACGTACTTACCAGGGGGCCCTTTAACAGTCAAACCACAAGAGAGGGGGTTAGGCTGGCACATTTAAGAAATAAGCTTCCCATCCGTGTGTCACAGAACTTTTGTATTTATAACATCCACTGCTAAAATGGACAAATATAGGCAGTACCCAAGTTAATAGATCATAGTCCAAAAAGATATTTCTACATCAATCCCAAAGCACACATTAGAATTTTGATGGGCTCCTTCACCTGGCTGGCTAAGTCCTACTTAACTAACG
The DNA here is from genome assembly GCF_000001405.40 of Homo sapiens. Classification (NCBI taxonomy): domain Eukaryota; kingdom Metazoa; phylum Chordata; class Mammalia; order Primates; family Hominidae; genus Homo; species Homo sapiens. Next base: position 159,817,725 of record NC_000006.12, on the reverse strand, counting down.
TGCATGCCAAGGACGGTGCTGTAGCGTGCACGCTGCTAATGTGTTTCTGGTGCCTACGTGCCCAGGGCTGCAGGCATCAAAGATGGTGTTGCCATGGGGAAATGCACTGAAGATTCCAATGTGGGGTTCCACTAATCTCTCCCTAGCCTATGTGCCCCCAACAAAGGATATGTCATTCATTGACCTGAACACTTTCTCCTCATACCTCACTGTTGCTTACATGGCTATAAGAAAGCAAGTGAGAGACAATCAAGCACACACCAGGCTGGGAAGGACTGAGACAGGTGTCAGAACCTAAGCCTAACCCCACTGCCTTGGCCTCCTGACATCTGCGGGGATGAGGGGGCCAGGACCCATACAGGCAGGCACAGGGGTGGTAGGAAGGGCTACTCCTGTGGCACAGAGCCATTTGTGGGCTGCTGCCCAGTCAGGGACAAGATTTCTATACCAGTGACACCTCACATTCTCCCTTCTTTGGTAGAACCCTGGGACTGGAGAGGTGTTGGCTTCCAGCAAGGGCTCAATAAATCCTGACCACCGATTGAACAGTAGGATGAAAAGAAAGAACACTTACTGGTATATCTTCTGTAGAAGCAAGTGTGCCACTTTCAAAAGAACTAGGAAGGAAAAAAGACAGAAATGCAATAGAGCTTATCAAAATGTGCATGCTTATGCTTTATCTCATTATGTGCAAGCCAATCTGAAATAAATGTAGAATCTAGGGACGGCAGGGGCATACTGCCAACAAAAAGTAAGTCTCCAGCTGGGTGTGGTGGCTCATGCCTGTAATCCCAGCACCTTGGGAGGCCGAGGCGGGTGGATTGCTTGAACCCAGGAGTTTGAGACCAGCCTGGGCAGCATGGTGAAACCCCATCTCTACAAAAAATACAAAAATTAGCCAGGTGTGGTGGCATGCACCTGTATTCCCAGCCAGGCATGGTGGCATGCACCTGTAGTCCCAGCTACTCGGGAAGCTGAGGTGGGAGGATCACCTGAGCCCAGGAGGTAGAGGCTGCAGTGAGCCGAGATCCTCACCACTGTACTCTAGCCTGGGCAACAGAGTGAGACCCTGTCTCAGAAAAAAAAAAAAAAAAAGTGAGTTTCCTTTTAAAGGAACCGCAATCCTTACCTGACCCACAGAGGAAGGCATCATACGCGGCTTCGTGGGGGCACTTTGTCTCAACTGAGGCATTTTCCACCAGGAGGACAGAGAATTGAGCAGTCATTAGAAACACGCCCCATCCTAGCTCACCATCCACAGTGGCTGCAGCTCATACAACCTCCCATGGTCCTGCATACCCTTCTCCAGGCCCACACACCAACTTCACCTTGGTCCTCCCCACGGTGGAGAAAGCCCCAAGATCAGAGCTGCCTTATAGACTAAGGACCACATTAAGGAGGAAATGGACAACTCCCAGGGCTCTTGGATGCATTCTGGGCTCGCTCATTTGGGGCAGGAGTTACATGGAGTAAGCAGAGTGAAGGAAAACCCCACACAAACCTCCCCCTCCCCTGCTGCCTGGGGCGGGGCAGGGGGAGAGGTGGGGGGGAGGGGAGGGGTGTGGGGGGGTGGGGAGGGGTGTGGCGGGTGGGTGGGGAGGGGTGTGGGGGAACCAGGGTCAAGGACAAGCTCAGCTGAGCACCTCAGCACTCTGCCGACTGTGCAAGGATTATGGGCTCATGGGAACGTACCATATTTCTCACACCTGCTCGCGTGAACAATCTCTGGTCCAGAATTCTTGGTGGGATTCAAGTCACTATTGGAAAAGAAAAATAGAATAAAAAACAATTTGCTGAAAGTAATCCCTTCTTGTATTCCCCCTCAGTCCCTTAAGTTAATATAAATTTTTTAAATGTACTGAGGACATATCTTTAAGGTGCAAATCTAAGCATGGACAGGTAAGATCTTAGTAACTGGGCAACAGGAAAGGGGAAAGAACAATGGTGCAGGAGGCCCCAGTGGAGTTACTCCAGGCATTTATCAAATGCTTCACTTGAGCCCAGGCACCAAGATAGACAAGATACTGTCTCTGTCCTCCGGAGCTGTCTAGTGGCCTGTCTAGCGACTACGGAGACAATTATGCCTGCCTCTTGTAAATGCAAGGCCTGAGGCATGACAGTCACGCCAGGACCCTGCAGGCTTCTGGAGGCAGACAGCACTCATGGAGAGTCCCAAACCACATGATCCAATGGAGTTCAAGGAATGGGGAGACGGCAGGCATTTCGAGCAGGCAAAGACAGTGAGGAAAAGGAGGAGGTCTGACCCCAGAAGCAGTGAGCTGAGAAGTGGGGCTGAAGCCTTTGTGTGAAGGGAGGGCCAAGAGGGTGGGGAGGAGCCCCTACAACAGGCAGGGGCTTCAGAAACCACAGAAAGACTGATCAGAAAAAAGAGCCCATTCAAATTCACATTCTAGATCATCACTCAAGGGGCGGTGTGGGGTATGAAGAGGGCAGGCCACAAGGCTGGGACACCACTCAGGGGCTACTACCACAGTTCCTTGGTTGGAATGAAAAGACAATAATCCTGAGAATGCAGAGAAAGGAGAGGTTTGAGAGACTTACAGGGTCAAGTCCATAAAACTTGACTCAACAGATGTGAGCAACTCAGCTCTGTGACCCCTTCTAGGTCTTGGCTCCAGGACCTGGGTGAATGGAGATGGTGTGTGACAAGGAAACCTTTGCTTCACTGGTTTTCAATAAGATGTTCTGGAACCTCACGTGCTTAGCCTCCTGACCCCTAATGTCCCCATCTGTAAAACAGGCGTCGTCGTCGTGGGTGTGCCATGAGCTGTCCTTTAGGATTGGGATAGTTGTCAACAGCAGCTAAGGTTCAACAGACCTGGACTACATGCAAGGGGCTGTTCTAAGTCCTTCCACATCTACAAACTCATTTAATCCTCACAACAACCTTGGAGTTACACACTATTTTCTCATCTCACAGATAGTTAAACTGAGGCACAGAGAGATTAAGTAATTCTCTCAAGGTCACTCACAGAACCAGTGAGTGGCAAAGCTGGGATTTAAACCCAGGAAGCCTGGAATCAGAGCCTGTGCATTTACAACAAAGCTCTCTCCCCGCTTTGCCCTCTCATGCACACACAGCCCTCAGTATCATGCCTGGTACCATCAAGACTTCTGAATTTGCAGGCACTAGAGTGTGCTTGAGGGACAGAGAGGAGGGTCAAGTTGAAGGTGCCCATAGGTCATGTAGGGTGGGAACATCAAGAAGACAGCTGGTAAACGCAGTGTCCTAGATGCTGAGGTCTGGACCGCAGCGGTACACAGGAGCTGGGAGTTGAAGCCCAGGGGGTGGATGAGGCCACATGGGAGCCTAGGAATGAGCAGGAACACGGTTGAGGAGGGGCCCTTGAGAGAAAACGTAGGAGACAGGTAGAGAACACGAATCACAAGGAATGGGTTTTAAAAAATCGCACACACACATCCAGAACAGGGTGCCATCCCTGTTCCAAACGCCTCTCGTGCCTCGTCCTGCTGACTGGGGACAGACTGGCGGCTCTGGGTGCCCCTGCGGAGAGCAGAGTGAAGGAGACAAGGCCCTGCCTGCCGTGGGCTGAGGAAAGAGGAGCATAGAGAGTTCAGGAGGCTTTGTCGTTAAGTTGGGAGAACACTTGTTGATGTGGAAGGAAATGAGAGGGAGACAGAAAGAGGTGGAGACACCCCGGGAAGGGGCAGGTAGGGGTGGGGAGTTGCTGAGCAGGGGTGAAGGTGACGAGTAGGTGGCAGCTCCTCCTGCCTGGCCTTGCACAGGGAAGGTGCTCCATTTGCTGGTGACAGGGGCGAGACAATGAAAAAGGGGACAGTAATCGCGCAACTGTTTGAGGGGCAGGGGTTGAGAGATTTCCTGTCTCTGGCTTCTCTCTCTTTGGAAACGGAGGCAAGAGGGTCATCGGAGGAAGGGGGCCATGAAGCAGGAGGAGCTGGAGGAGACCAAGTCCCAAGCAGGCATCACTGTGAATGGTGGGCACGCCTAGAGAGCCCAAAGGCCTGCGGAGCACAGGGAGGCCACCAAGGCCGCTCCAGCAGTAGCTCCAGGAATCGCCGTCCTCACCTGTTCAGGACTTCATAGACTTCCGAAAGATTCGACACCCTCGGGAAATTCATCTCCTACAATCATGGAAAACAAACCAGAGGAAAACATTTGCGCTTTTGTTTATTCTCTGTTTCAGGCAGTACCAAATGGTCATTAAAATGGCCTGGAAAATGCTCACTCCTACAACCTCCTCTTTCTCTTCAAATGGTGCAACCATCCTTATTCCTTAGTTAGGATGTCAGGGTACGCAGTATTCCTGGGTTTCCTAGAAGGACTCTCAAAAACCTAGGCTAGAAAAAAACTCTACACACACTATCTCCCTTAGAAAATGTGTTCAACAGATTACCCATAAACACAGGAAAGCAAGGCACGAGGACAAAGGCCAGGGACATACATGGAGCATACAGGCATTCTAAGGCCTAGAGGGCTTTGGGGCAATGCCTGGTTACTAAATCCTAAAAGTTCATAGTAGCTGGAAATACACCAACTACAAATAATAACAGCCTCTGGGCAAAGACAGACCACAGACCCCACTCCCATCTGTGCGGCATCCTTGCTGGATAATTCACTTGTAAGGGATCACTCTAAGGCTTCACAAGATTGATCTGATGCCCCCTTCTCTGTTCTTCAGTTGTTGTTTTTTTTCCCCTTGAGACAGGGTCTTCCTCTGTTGCCCAGGCTGGAATACAGGGGTGCAATCTCGGCTCACTGCAATCTCCACTTCCCGGGCTTTAAGTGATCCTCCCACTTACGCCTCCCAAGTAGCCAGGACTGGAGGTGTGCACCAACATGCCCAGGTAATTTTTGTATTTTTTGTAGAGATGGAGTTTCACCCATGTTGCTCAGACTAGTCTCAAATTCCTGGGCTCAAGCCATTCACCCACCTCAGCCTCCCAAAATGCTGGGATTACAGGTGTGAGCCACTGTGCCTGGCTATTCTCAGCTTCGTTTCTAAGCAGCATTTAAACCAGTCAGGTCGCTTTTCTCTATGCATAGTACACAGCCTCGACTCCACAACAGAATCACCCAGGGAGCTTTAGAAATACCACCTGGCCCCACTCTAGGTCAGACAAAAAGCTGCCAGTGCAGCCTGGCTATCAGCATTTTCAACTTTCCACGTGATTCCAACATGTTTTCAGGACTGAGAACCCATGACTGGAGGGCTCAATGAAGAAGAGGTTTTCTCAAGATTCTTCAGGAGGGAACCCCCTCCCCCCCAGTGCTCTGTACACATGTTGCAAATATTCCTAAGGCATGCATCAAGTTCTAAAATAAGTTGTTCTGTTGTCTGATCTAAATAAGCACAAAAACTCTACACAAATAAGTCAAAATGTGGAAACTGGAGGGAGAGAAAGGGAATAAGTCATATATAAGCTAATACAATGATGCACAGGTGCCAAAATACAAAAGGAAACTGATACTGGTTTGAAGAGAGAAAAGCAATCAAGGAACAACTTTAAAAAACACAAGTGGCAGGCCGGGCGCAGTGGCTCACCCCTGTAATCCCAGCACTTTGGGAGGCCGAGGCGGGTGGATCATGAGGTCAGGAGATCAAGACGATCCTGGCTAACATGGTGAAACCCCGTCTTTACTAAAAATACAAAAAAATTAGCAGGGCATGGTGGTGCGCACCTGTAATCCCAGCTACTCAGGAGGCTGAGGCAGGAGAATCGCTTGAACAAGGGAGTCAAAGGTTGCAGTGAGCTGAGATCGCGCCATTGCACTCCAGCCTGGCTTTGAGAGCAAGACTCCCTCTCAAACAAAACAAAACAAAACAAAACAAAACAAAAAAAACAAAAAAACACAAGAAAAAAACCCCACAAGAGAAAGCTAAGTGTTACTGGTATGGAAAAAGCAGTTCTTAACCCAAAGCAGTTCTATTCATTACCTTCCAGATATCCTTTGTTACACTCTTGGTATCAATGAGAACAGGAAATAGGCTGTGGATATTCTGCTTAAATTGATCGTAGCTTTCTGAGGGGAAAAACCCAGGTAGTCAAGAGTGAATTTGTTTGTTGGCAAAAATGGGAAGGAACATTCTTGAACCTAGCTTGCCACTGGCACTGATTAATAAAGCAAACTGAAACAAAACAGGAATTGAAAACACCATTAATCCTAGCCACTAAGGATTTCTAAACTCAGATCAAGCTGCCATCACCACTTTTAATAGTAAAGGCCGAACGGTTTTCTATTAAATTCAGGATGCATTCTATTGCCAACCGTAGTTAATGTAGTTTGCGAAGCTCTAGCCGATGGGATAAGACTTAAAAATAGAAGTATTATCAGAAAGGCAGACATGATATCATTTGTAAATAATTGCTCAGAGAAAAATCCAAGAAAAAAAATCAAAAATTATAACTAGTAAAGTGTCCTGATAAAAGAAAATTTATGCAAGAACTCAGTTGGTAAAGTTATCAGTTATACCTGCACCTAAAGAGGTTTATTGCAAAACACACACACTAAAAACAAAACCCTGTGATCTCTTCCCGCTACTCTCCCATTTCCTACTCCCCAAAGGCAACCACTCGCAGTTCTTTTCCTTTTGGTATTTATTCCCATCTCTCTCGCACATGCATGGTGTGGTGTTAGACACCTCACTCCCGACCTCCCACCGGCTGAGAGGGTGATGACCCCTCTCATTCCACCTCCACACACATGCCCGTATCGCCCCACGCGCGTCATTCACAAAAGGCTCTGTGGTGGCTACAATGACTTCTCCTTTCTTGCACAGCTTTTGTTCTCCCAGCGCTTATTTTGTTGTACTTAGTTTTTTGGTGAATGTGTATTATTAATTTCACTGCTAATTCTCCAACTCTCTCAATATGCCCAAACTCAGGTGTTTCATTGTTTCTTGGGGAAATGGCTCCTAAAACTTTCTTACCCCTCGTAATCTAGACTAGTGTTCTTTGTACGTTTATTAATTCATTTAATCTCACAACTCTGATATTGGCACTATTATCCCAATCTTACAATTAAGGTAATGTCAACTCGCTGGAGACTACGCACGTAGTGAGTGTGGGATGGATGAGATCACCAAGGCTCGAGGCCCCACTTTACCCACTAGGCTGCACCACTGAATGTCCAATAATGGAATCAACCATGAAACAGTAGGGGACAGCCAGAAGACAGTGTCACATGACACTGAAGCAGCATTTATTAGGTTTTTAACAACATAAAATAATGCTTTGGGTAAGTGGAAAAAAAGCCAAACAAAAATCAAATAGTGTAATCAAATATGTAAAAATTCAGGATACTAGCTGATTAAAGGTGACTTCTGACTTCATGCATTTCTGATTTTGCCAAGCTTCATACAATAACTCTGAACAGCTTCAGTAATGGGGAGAGGGGTATCAATTCAAATTTAAATTTTTTCCCCCTTGACAAAGTCTCCTGGTTTTCCACTCTGGGGAGACAGTAACAGATCAGAGTACAGGCCTCTGCCCAAACTCTCCAGAAACCTGCAGACACTGGGGAGGAATGGGCATTTTAGGAGCTGCCTCAGGGGTATGATTGTGTACCAATCCCTCTGCCAGATGGCAAACTAGCGTGAAGGAAGAGAAATGACAGGTTTGCCCCTACCTGGGAGGGGTCTGAAGAACTTCTCATGGAGGTGCAGCAGGTCCATCATCATATTATGTCCCACTAAGGGCTACTTGGAGTAAATCAACAGGTGAGAGAAAATAAAAAAATGTAATCCAGACACTACAGACTAACAGTTTCTTGCAAAAGATATAGTGTTAGAACCCACTGCAATTCTGATCACTTGACAGTTCCATCCTAACCTTCCTTTGCCTCTGTGAAAGGTAGTTCAACCGCTTAAATGCCAACAAAAAGAAAAAAGAAAACAATTCACAAGTAGGAGGCACGTAAGGCAGGGTCTGCGCTGGAAACCTATACTGTGAAGCAGGCACTTGCAGTTTCCCCAAAGAGTCTTAGGTCAGTTAGTACTGAAATTCCTGTGTTACGGAAAGGAGCAGAGAAGTCGTACTGTTTCTTATGGATACTCTTGCCCCAAATTAACCTATCATGATTTGGTGAAAGCAAGGTTAGATCCAGGAAGCTAGTTATAAATGAGAAGGAAGGCCAGGTGCAGTGGCTCATGCCTATAATCCCACCATTTTAGGAGGCCAAGGCAGGCAGATTACTTGATCCCAGGAGTTCGAGACCACTCTGGGCAACACTGCGAGATCCCGTCTCTACCAAAAAAAAAAAAAAAAAAAAAATTAGCCAGGTATGGTGGCATGTGCCTGTAGTCCCAGCTACTCAGGAAGCTGAGGTATGAGTTTCACTTAAGCCTGGGAGGTCAAGGCTGCAGTGAACCGTGTTCATGCCACTGCACTCCTTCCTGCCTGGGTGACAGGTGAGACCCTATCTGAAAGTAAAACATGAAAAAATTCATGAGAAGGAATCACTTATCTCAAAGAATTTTATCTTGTTGTTGAAGGAGCCTTTAGTATCTATGACCAGAAATACTAAAGACTGCCTTTAGGCCAAGAAAAGAGACATGTTTTCCTACCTTCTGGGCTTTCACCAGCATTTGGAAAAAGACAGAAAAACCCCTTGCTGAGAGAAGAATATTTTCCTTCCAACAGCTCTCTCGGTCACAAGAGGTGTTCTGAAGATACCAACGATGTTGTTTACTCACTTTCTTCACTACCACCTGAAAAGCAGGGACAAATTCCCTGAATCCTGGGTTACTAGGAATGAGGCCTAAAGAAATGGCTCTGCATCTCTAAACAAAAGGAAAGGGGGAAAAACTAGCAGCGTGCAAGATAAAAGCTTTTCAGAGGCCAGATTTGGCCAATTATGAGAGAGAAACAATGGAGCCACTGATGCCCCGTTCGCAGTGAGAACTCACCCCCTCATCTTTCAGCACCGTCCAGATGTTGGGGAGGGCCTGCCTCAGCACCAGTTGGACCTCAAAGGCCTGGAAGCCTGCAGCAGGGAAACACAGGGGCACACAGCACCTGGAACCGTGTGGCATGTTCCCCACAAGAGAAGCCCTGGAGGAGCAGAAGCTGAGATGGAAAGGTCAAGTGGAAAGGGAGCTTGAAGGGTGCCCAAGCCCATGAGCCATGTGGCAGGGCCTGGCCTGTCATGATGGGATCTGGGGCAGCATTCTAAGAGTTTTTTTTTTTTTTTTTTATCTCAGGGCCACTCTTAAGTTGGGGATGCCATAGAGCTTGTGTTTATGTGAGTTACAGCTATTGATATTAAACATGTTAGAAATTAAAACTCTTACATTTAAAGAAGTTTTTTAAGTAACAAAAACCCATTATACATGAACAAAAATAACACTTATAAAAAATAACTATTTTCTAAAACAAAAACTTAGCGAGAAGAGTGACACTGTTCTACATTTTTGCAAATCTCTAATATTTGGCTGGAATGTTGTATCGGCATTTGCATCCAATCTGTTGATATGTTGTGATCATTGAAACATAAGAAAATCCAGCCTCACGGCTGGGCGCAGTGGCTCATGCCTGTAATCCCAGCACTTTTGGAGGCTGAGGAGGGCGGATCACCTGAGGTCAGGAGTTCGAGACCAACCTGGCCAACACGGTGAAACCCTGACTCTACTAAAAATACAGAAATTAGCCAGGCATGGTGGCAGATGCCTGTAATCCCAGCTACTCAGGAGGCTGAGGCAGGAGAATCCCTTGAACCCGGGAGGCGGAGGTTGTAGTGAGCCAAGATGGTGCCACTGCACTCCAGCTTGGGCAACAGAGTAAGACTCCTTCTCAAAAAAAAAAAAGAAAAAAAAAATCCAGCCTCAAGCAGATGTGTAGGTGGAAAAGGGAACAGAATTACTAGCCTTATCAAATGACTTTGGATATTCTTTAAAACTGTACCAAACTCAACAAGTGGTAGTTTCTTAAAGATTAATTGCACTGTGGAATCTGAAACCATCATTAATGAGTTTTATTGTACTGCTACATTACAATCCACTGGCCTATCTCACACCTAGAATAGATCTCTTATCTATGAGATAAGATAGCGCACAATAGTAACATTATGTGCTAGTAATCTGGAAAATGCTGGTTGGCAGGGTTATGTAGGTCTCCCAAATGTTTGCACATTTTATTACACAATACCAACAGAAGACATTGGAAAATATGATCACTGATCTCATCAGAAAGGTTGTGGTACTGGGAAGCTGTCAAGCTTACGGTGGCACATGTAAATTCTTCAAAATTCCAGTTGATTGAAAGCTGTAATTTTATCACTAGGAAATACTGCGAGTTATCTTCCTTGAAGTGACAGGCTTTTTTTTTTCCTTTGAAACAGAGTCTCATTGTGTTGCTCAGGCTGGAGTGCAGTGGCATCATCTTAGCTCATTGCCTTGGCCTCCCAAAATGCTGGGATTACAAGCATGAGTCACTGTACCTGGCCAACAAGCTCTTTTCATTGAGAAAATGATTGTGAAACCTTCAAGTCTAAGCAACCAATCAGTTCTTTCCAGTAAAAATGATATTTCATGGGGCCGGGTGCGGTGGCTCATGCCTGTTATCCCACCACTTTGGGAGGCCAAGGTGGGAGGATCACCTGAGGTCAAGAGTTTGAGACTAACCTGGCCAACATGGTTAAACCCCATCTCTACTAAAAATGCAAAAATTAGCCGGGCATGGTGGCAGGCACCTGTAATCCCAGCTACTCAGGAGGCTGAGGCAGGACAATCACTTGAACCCGGGAGGCGGAGATTGCAGTGAGCTGAAATCGTGCCATTGCACTCCAGCCCAGGCAACAAGAGCAAAACTATATCTTCAAAAAAAAAAAAAAAAAAAAGGCAGCTAATTCAGCTCTCAAAAGACTGCACAAGCACTTTTCCTTGACACAATCACTGTATTTTGGCACACACCTAAGGAATGTTTTATGCATACTTATTTTTTACATACCTATATTGACATATATTTAAAAGATGAGTAATCAAAAGATTGAGATTTAATACAACCAAGAATATTACTTTTTAATCAAGGAGGCTGCTACTAAGATTGGCCTTTCCGTTTTTAACTGAGAGTAAGTGGTAATGAAGAACACGGTATGATGCTCCTGCCTTAATGTGTGCTGAGATGCCAGCAGCTTTGTCCGACATCGCTTGGGCACCAATGCAAATGGCACAATGACAATAGCAAGTACAGCTGAGGGATACTTGGAAAACCGTTTTGACCTCACATATCCATTGGAAAGGGTCCCAGAGACTCTAGGATCCATAGACCAGCCTCTGAGAGCTGCTAAGCTATGGCGTGTTCACTGTGGCTCCACACCACATGCTGGGGGAAAAGCTTAGTGATTAACAAAAGTCAAGATAATACAGGGCACCCAGGACTGAAATAAAAGGAATGGCTCAGGAATGGAACTTGACCTTCTCAGCCTTGAAACCCAAAGTATGTCGAAAGCCTTCAACGTGTGAATGCAGGTCAGAACTTTAACCACAAAGACTCCGTAACCGCCAAACAAATGCTTGCATCAGACTCAGTCATGAGGCACTTGGGACCAGGATCCCAAGAAAGGGTGTGTTTCCCCCAACTCCTGGCAGGTGACAGTGACCTGTCCCAATGCTCCTGCGTTGGGAGGAACAGGCCCTGCCTACCAGTGATCCCAGGAAGAGTCATCCAGTCGCCTTCCTTGGCCAGCTCCAGCCACCGCGTCACTTCGTCAATCACCACCTTGATTTGGTCTTTATCCGGAGAGCTGAAAATGGGCGCATGAAAGTGAACATGTCAGAGAAAAACACTTCAGAACCGCAAGACTATGTTAACATGAGAGCAGTTTCTGAACCCTCTGGTTTTCATGTTGCAATATACAAAGAAAATGTACCAAAAGAAGACGATTTCTTCTCTGAGGCTCTTATGCAATAGGAAGCCAAACAATTGGAAGAATAGCCCACAACCTTCCATAGGATCCAGGCATATATTCAATCCCCTCCTGCTTCACTAGGATGTATGGAGGAAAAGCTATTGGTATCTAGCCAATACCAAGCATTGCTATCAGGACCGTCTTCTTTATTCAGCTTTCAGGGGTGATAAAGTCTCTATCTGGGATAATCAGGAAAAGACAAGGACTTTGGTAAACACATTGCCTCTTGCATCAGAAACAGAACCTAACATCATTTTGAGATAAGGAAAGGCCTTTCTCCAACTCTTGAAAATGAAAGAAGGTTAAAAATTCAACTTGTTTTTCCCTTACAAAAAGCTACATTTTTATATGAAAACCAGCAGGAAAAATACAAAGAGACAAAAATTCCTCCAACATAACAGAATTATCTGGAAGAGATCATCACTCATCGCATTTCAGATGTTCATTTAATCTCCCCCTTCCTGATAAAGGCAAAGAGCTTCCATACCTTGTTCAAACCCACACCTAGCTGATAGCACTTGGCTCCAGGTGAGGGTACCAGCCCCAAGGCCCCCGGTCCGTCTACCCACAATGCTGTTGCTCTCGCTGTGGTCACTCCTGACCCCAGCTCTACAGGAATACGAGGTTTTGGAGACTGGGGCTGGCACAGACAGCCAAAGTAAAAAGGCAGAGGTCCCGGCCTAGGGGAGCAGGGTCAGGCACAGCAGGGCAGACACAGCCTAACCAAGGCACACATCTGAAGTCAGTGCCCAGTATGATTGGCACAGTCAAGGTTGCCCGAGAGATATCCTTGAAAAATCCCTCAGAAGATCACATGGGGGATCAACATAACATCTCACAGCAAGTCCAACAGAACGATTTCTTCCCCTCTAGCACTGGAATGGAATTCTTGTTTCTTTGAGTTCCAAATTAGGAGTCAGTTTCTTTTTCTTTTTAAACACTGAAACTCACACTCAACGCAGTGAGAGGTTCATTAGGGAGTGGAACATGATGGAGACAGGTGAAAGCCATTCTCAGTTGGGGCACAGGGAGAGCAGCGCCAGCTGCACAGGCAGCTGAAGCCATCCCCGCCAAGCATGGATGGAGGTCACCACACTCCTGGAAACGGCACGCCCGCCCACGGGAAATGCAGACAACAGCAACAAGGAAACAAAAAGGCACCTGGAGAAACAGGCCATACCTGCGAACTCTCCAGTTCCCAGTCAGGATATCGTGTCTAATTTTCTTCTCCTGTTCTTCATTCATATATGGGATTCCGTTTTTGAGAAACTTAAGACAGAAACAGAACAACAAACAGAACAAGGAGACAAGTCAGAGGGATCCTCTGTGCCTGATTTCACGAGGACAGGTAGAAAGGGGAAAGGAGACGGGCTGTATAAGCCAGTTCGTCTAGATCACTTGTAAGACATTCCCAGGCCGGGTGCGGTGGCTCATGCCTATAACCCCAGCACTTTGGGAGGCCGAGGCAGGTGGATTGCCTGAGGCTAGGAGTTCAAGACCAGCCTGACCAACATGGTGAAACCCCGTCTCTACTAAAAATACAAAAAGAATTAGCTGGGCATGGTGGCGGGTGCCTGTAATCCCAGCTACTTGGGAGGCTGAAGCAGGAAAATCACTTGAACCCGGGAGGCGAAGATTGCACCACTGCACTCCAGCCTGGGCAACAGAGCGAGACTCCATCTCAGAAACAAACAAAAGACATTCCCGTTCCCCTCCTCCAATGCCATACCTTGTTATAGTTGAAGCCATACTGATTCAAAAACTGAACACTGGAAGCCTGGAAGGAGAATTCTGAGTCCAAAATCCCAAACGTTGTAGGGAAGAGATAGAAGTTACAAGAATGGGCTATATACCTATAATAAAACAAACATACAGAGAAAAAGCCACAACCATTTAAAAAACTCTGGCTCCCAGGGCTGGCTTCAGGGTGGGCTCTTTCTTTTAGGCAAGAAGAATCTGAGTGTGCCCGAGTGTCTGCTGTGTTTCAGGAGCTATGATTGGCACTGGGGGTGCTAAATGAAAAAGGCAGAGAGCCTGCCTTCAGGGCCAGCGTATACCACAGAGACAGCCCCTCCACAAGCTGCCCAGGGATGCCAGGTTAGGGCGTGCAGGCTGGCACCCTCAACTGCTCATGGGGGGTGGGGAGGCATCCTGATAGTTGGGGCATCCTTTCTGCCTACTGTGTCAGGTAGTTTAAACATCACTTTCATTACACCACACTGTGTCAGGCGCTTTTATTAATATAGGTGCACACTGGAGACAATGGAAATGGGGAAAGGAGCACTTAAGGTACAGAGCAAGGCTGGCGGGAAAGGTACTGCTTCCAGAGAGACATCAAAGACAAGCTGGAATCCGCAGAGGGCAGAGTGAGTGGAGGAACAGACACAGGAGAGAATACGGAAGATCCAGGGCAAAAGTGATCGGGGCACCTGAGGCAGAATTTGAAGGTGGCAGCTGTGGAACATAGGTGGGAAGCACCTATGTTTGCAGAAGCTCTTGATACATACTTGTTTGCCTCTCCTTCAATAGCGGAAAACACAGACAATCCTGGAAGAATGACCGTAGAGGGAATGAATGCCAAGGAAAAGCAACCTGAATTTCACTACAAAGACAAAAACAACTCAAACAGTACTTTGCGCCCACAGATACTATGTGGGCTGTACAACAGGATAACATCTTTAATGACAAAAAAGAAAAGACAGACTGGAAGCATGAGAAATGTCAAATTGTAATTCACACTGAATTTGCTAAAATCTAATTGTGGCCTGTTCTTCAAATACAGAAGTAAATATTAAAATGACATTCTCATAGTTTTAAAACTATCCACAGAAAATACCAAAAACCATTAAGATTTATATATTTAACTCATTTAAAATGTCTATTCCTCCCCCCTCAAAGAAAACCATATGCAAAGTTAAAAAAAAAAAAGACTTCAGGCCAGGTGCGGTGGCTTATGCCTGTAATCCCAACACTTTGGGAGACCTAGGCAGGTGGATCACTTGAGGTCAGGAATTCGAGACCAGCCTGACCAACATGGTGAAACCCTGTCTCTACTAAAAATACAAAAATTAGCTAGGTGTGGTGGCGCGCACCTGTAATCCCAGCTACTCAGGAGGCTGAGGCAGGAGAATTGCTTGGGCCTGGGAGGCAAGGGTGTTGCAGGGAGCCAAGATCGTGCCCCTGCACTCCAGCCTGGGCAACAGAGCAAGACTCTGTCCCCCTTCCCCCCAAACAAATTTGGGTACAACAATGGAAACATAACTACAACTGTTTCCTATACTTCTCAAAGAGGTCTTATAATTAAAAACAAACAAACGAACAAAAAAAAAACCATAACAGAAAAGTAGCAAAGGATCAGGATAGAGAGGAAAACACACACACGTTCAGCATCATTCATAGTAAAAGCAGGGGCTGGGCGTGGCAGCACTCCCAGCTACTTCAGAAGCTGAGACTGGAGGATCTCCAGAGCCCAAAAGTTTGAGCCCAGCCTGGGCAACACAGCAAAAACCCAATGGTGCGGGAGAGGGCACAGACAAACCCAGAAAAGTAAAATCTGGCCCAGGGTCTGTTTCTGTAAATACAATAACATTTTACTGGAATGGAGCCATGCTCATTTGTTCATGTATTCTCTACAGCTAATTTCACATTACAAAAGCAGGATTGAGTAGCTGTAAAAGAAACAGCATTACGCAACCGTTAACAGCTCTGTCTTGACCAGCCTGGCCAACATGGTGAAACCCCATCGCTACTAAAAATACAAAAATTAGCCAGGCCTGGTGGCAATTGCCTGTAATCCCAGCTGCTCTGGAGGCTGAGGCAGGAGAATCACCCGAACCTGGGTGGTGGAGGTTGCGGTGAGCCCACATCGCGCTACTGCACTCCAGCCTGGGCAACAGAGCGAGACTCCATCTCAGAAAATAAACTAATAACTAAATCAACAAATAGATCTGTATGAACCGATACAGAAAGATCTCCAAATCCCATCAAGGAAAAAAAAAAAGTTTCTGAAACTGAGATGACCTTAAAAAAAATTATTTTTGTGTGTAAATTTTCTTAAGAAAAAAAAATCACAGGCCAGGTGTGGTTGCTCACGCTTATAATTCCATCACTTTGAGAGGCAGAGGCAGAAAGATTGCTCGAGCCCAGGAAGTCAAGAACAGCCTGGCCAACATGACGAAAACCCATCTGAACAAAAAATTTAAAAATTAGCTAGGTGTGGTGGTGAGCCTGTAGTCCCAGTTTACTCAGGAGGCTGACGTGCTAGTATCACTTGAGCCCAGGAAGTCTAGGCTGCAGTGAGCTAAGACTATGCTACTGCACTCCAGTCTTGGTGACAGAGCAAGACCCTGTCTCAAAAAATAAAATAAAAATCGCACACACACAGTTTTACTTGAAAGAGTAACAGTGAGTGTTCCTTAATACTGACTTATTTAAGCACGGAAACAATGCTGCTAAATTTGGTTTGCTCCGAAGTGTTGATTTCCATATGTATACAATGGCCCAACACAAAACAAGCATACAAAACGATACTCAATATCCTTGAAAAATCTCAGAGCTGTTTTTACAGTAGGAAATCCAAGGACAATAAAAATACCTTCTTGAAAAACTCTAACAGCTGATATTAAACTCACCAATCTGACAGACTGTAAATTGCTGAACACTCTGACGGGTCTTTAGATACCACTCCGATGGCAAATCAAAAAGACTGTGAACAAACAGGCATCTCATTCCACGAGCAATGACATCCCATCCCGGCACTATGGCCTCCGCGGCAGGACCACCACTCGCAACCGGGGAGGATTTTTTCCTTGTTACAACAACTAGGGAGCACTACCATCATTTAGTGGACAGAAAAAAGCAAGGTCCTCCAACACGTAGGAGCAAGCCACACAAAACGTCCTGCCCCCCAAATGCCAACAGGCTGCTGGCCAGAAACAGTGCTGGTCTGGCCAGGCTCTTATACAGAGGGGACACAGCTTTAGTTTTACCTGATCTGCTGGGGCCCAGACAGGTTAGAACGAAGGCCCGTGAACTCTATGTCCAGACCTGCCAGGAAGGCAAAAAATAGCAGTCCTCGGGTGCAGAACATCGCCAGCACTCCTCACACTGTAGATCTGCAGGCGGCCAAGGCACCCGCGCTCACCTCTGCGCTCAAGAAGCCAAGTGAGGTCAGGAAGGGAAAATGGAGGAACCAAGGCAAGGAGCAGCCAGGCACCTGGGCGCACGGGGCTCTGGCCAACAAGGGACGTGGGGCTCGGAGTGTACTTGCTGCTCAAAGTCCCACCGCCCCGGGGCTGGAGAAGGAAGCCCCCCTGTCCTTCCCGAGGCCCTCTCTGAGGCCCTGTGGCCTGGCAACCGTCCCGCCACCCCCTCCTCAAGCTCGCCCGGGGCAAGGGGCTCTGTCCGGCACAGCCGCGAATCCCAGGCTCTTCACCCACGAAGTCGGCCTCCTGGACGAGCTCCTGCAGCAGAGGGAGGCTCTCCTCGAACTCGTCGGCGCCCACGTCCATGGCCGTGCAGCTCCGCGGAGTCGCCCAGCGCTATCACGTGCTGCCCACGTGCTGCCCACGCGCTTCCGTCGCGCCGCCGGGTCTTAAAGGGCGCACACATGGAAACCAGGCAGCTGCCTCCGCCCCACGTGCCCAGCTTCCCCGTGTGCTGCTGGCGTCGCCCACACCTGCCTGCGGGTGTTTTAATTGTACGATTTGCTACAGAGGTTTGATTGCAATTGCAATCAAAGCCTGTTTACCTGGCTCCTCAGCAATTTCTTTGCAGCCCTTAACGTGAGAATGTCATTTACATGGACTTAGAATGTTAAGAGGCGTGGCAGGAGACGAAGACAGAGTCCAGAAAGGGTGAAATCAGAAAAGCGGAGCAGGAACAACACCGGACGCAACTGCAATAAGCAGATCCTTTGCTGCGGCTCACGGTCTTCTAAATCACCTCTTCCCAACTTCTCCATCACTGCCAGTATGTCTGTCCCCATTCCCTCTCCCACGCCCCTGGACATCTTTTTCCTCATTCTGCTGTCCACCTTACCACTGTCTTCACACCTGCAATCAAACTTTGCAAAGCCTCAAGAACTGCCCATTAAATTGAAGGAATCCTTGGTCCCCAGGGATTATCTCGTGCACTCACTCCTTGCGGAAATCCCTACCTACATCATCACATACATGTGAGCTTAATTTTTACTTTTGTTACTGTTTCCAGTGCAACTAGTCCATGGTCTTCCTTACAGTGTCCTCCCTTGAATTCTAGGCTTCTACTTGAACAGCGTTTTGGAACTATGGTCCTCAAAGTGAGGTGCTCAAATCAATCTTTAAGGTTAGCGGAGAAAACATTACCGTTATACTTTATTTTTTCCTTTTGAGACAGTCTCACTCTGTCACCCAGGCTGGAGTGCAGTGGTGCCATCTCGGCTCTCTGCAATCTCCACCTCCTGAGTTCAAGCGATTCTCCCGCCTCAGCCTCTGAACAGCTGGGATTACAGGCATGCACCACCACGCCCAACTCATTTTTGTTTTTAGTAGAGATAGGGTTAAACCGTATTGGCCAGGCTGGTCTCGAATTCCTGGCCTCAAGTGATCCACCTGCTTCAGCCTCCTAAAGTGGTGGGATTAGAGGTGTGAGGCACTGCATCCGATCTTCAATTATACTTTTAAATGCCTCTCCGGGACATTAATTAAGCAAAAGGGGACTATTAAGCCATTTGATTCTGAAGACCTCTCAGAACAAATCATACTTCATACAGATGTGTTCCATTTAAAATAACACATTGAATACTCAAATTGGCAGAAGTAACATATTTCACTTCTAAACAAACATTTAATTGGGGTATACATTAAAAAAACTGGAAAACAATGCTCTAGAAGCCACCTTAACTGCCTACAGGTTTTTTCTCACATTTATCAAATAGCCAAAAATTAACACCTTAATCAGCTCCTTTCAGAGAACTGCCATGATTCCCATCTACCCAAGCTCAAATTTTAGATTAACTTGCATGCATTTCAAGTTTCATCTCCTATCTAATAAAATGTTCACTTCATGGCAAATTGAGCGCCCACTAACCCCAACCATTTCCACCTCTGCTTTCAGCTCCTGATGCCACCTCCTTCCTCTTTCAAATTTGTTTCTCTTACTGTTGGGAACCAAGAGTCCAAGTGAGGTTGGCATTTGGTCCTTTCATTTTCACATACTGACTGTTCTATAGTATTAGATTGATACTGACATTTCCTATTTTAAAAAACAACCCACACTCCGAGCAGCAAACAACTGTCATTCACTGAGATCACTCGCCATGAACTAGACACAGTAATAAGTGCTTTACATCAACCTCATATGTGCTCCACTGCCACAGTGAGCTCAGACAATGTCATATAACCAGAAAATAAGAGTTCATAATATGCCTTTATTTTGTAATTTATAAACAACTTCTGACTTGCCCTTTGAAAGTTAATTATAATTGATGACTGCTTTTCTTAGATGCTTCTGAAGCCCAAGAGAGGGGCAGAACGTAGTTCTTGATTTAAAAAAACAGAAAGGGGAGGAGGATGACCTTAACTACAAATAATATTCCACTGCAACATTATTGCTGTAAAACTTCCAAGCTGGCTGTTCTTCCAGATGCTCTCTTTTGATGGCTGTAGTGGCTGACAGATTTATATTTACATGTTCAAAACAATTAATGCTTCCATTTATTCATAGATTCTCTGAGGTTCCCGTAGAACCACACCACCTTCTGTCATGGCACTTTGTAGTCGTTTCATCTGGTTTTGAAAATCAGAAAAAAAAGGAAAAGATTAAGTCAGCAGCACGAGTAGGCTGAAAATACTTTCACCTTCCAAAAGACAGAAATAAATTGATTTGTTCTTGCTAACTTCCCAGCCTACAACGGTTTTTCAGAAAGTGATCTTAATAATGATGTAAGTAAAAAGGAAATGTAGAGATGTCAAGGTTCAGCAGCATTTCAAAATATTATATGGACAAGATGTCAATATATGAACAGGAAATACAGTGGCTGACATCATGGACTACAGAATCAGTCACCCTGGGTTTGAAATCCACCATACACTGACTCTGGGCAAGTAAGCCTCAGTTTATTTCTGTATAGAATGAGAGTACTAGTCCCTACCCTATGGACTGATGTGAGGATTAAATGAAGTAACACTGTTGAGTACTCACCAAAGGGTCTGACACATGGAAAGTATTTGGTAAGTAAAAACTGTTATTATTATGTAAGTTATCTAATGCCAAGAATTAACACAATACCTTTTCAATAAGTACATGAAAACAAAAATACCGAGTCTGAGGCTGCCTCCCACGGGGTTGGTTGGTAGACCATGAAGTTGATTCCCGCCTCTAAGCATCTCTGTGCCAGCACTCGTCCTATACTCTCACAAGCCACCACATTTCTGGTACTATAAAGGTGCTTTTTAATAGCCCACTCACGAGTGGAGGCCGAAACCACAACCTTGCCATTCTGATGCTCCACAAGTGCTTCTACATGATGCTGAGTCCTTATAACTCGCAACCTAAATGGGGTGAGAAGATAATAAAATCACAGAAGAATCTGTATCCTAAAGTTACATTAATTGAGGTGAATAAATGACTAAATATTTTTCAACAATCCAGTGTTTGGTTCATTTACTTCAACATATTTAACTTGGATTTTGCTTGGGAAAAGTATTTTTCCTCCGCCTTTATGAGAATATCCTCAATAATAACAAACTAAATAGTTCAAGTATCATGAAGAAATTTGTTTCTGAAGAGCTGAGTTTTATTTACAGATCTACTTCAAAAAGAGATTTGAAGAGACAGAGCTAAGTTACTGAACATATGCATGACATGGATATACTTACTCTTTGCTTTTATTTATAGCTAGCACCAAAATAAATATAAGACGGAACAAAAATTTAAATGCAAAAACTGAAATCATAACAGTACTAGAAGAAAACATGAGAAATTTTTTTATAATCTCAAGGTATGCATATTTAAATATGACATCAAACCATGTCATATGGCTTTTATTATTTTTCAGAAACAGGGTCTCACTGTCACCCAGCTCGGAGTACAGCAGTGCAACCACAGCTCACTGTAGCCTCAAACCCCTAGGCTCAAGCAACCCTCCTGCCTTAGTCTCCCAAGTAGTTGGCATTACAGGTGCATGCCACTGCACCAAGATAATTTTTATTTTGTAGAGACAGGGTCTCCCTATGTTGCCAAGGCTGGTGTCAAACTCCTGGCCTCAAGCGACCCACCCTTCTCAACCTCCCAAAGCACTGGGATTACAGGCATGAGCCACTGTGTCCAGCTTCATATGGCCATTTTTTTTTTTTTTTGAGACAGGGTCTGCCTCTGTCTCTCAGGCTAGAGTACAGAGGCACGAACTTGGCTCACAGCAGCCTCTGCCTCCTGGGATCAAGTCATCCTTCCACCTCAACCTCCCAAGTGGCTGGGACTACAGGCGCATGCCACTGCACCCAGCTAATTTTTGTATTTTTTTGTAGAGACAGGGTTTGCCATATTGCCCAGGCTCGTCTCAAACTCCTAAGCTCAAGCAGTCTACCCACCTCAGCCTCCTAATGTGCTGGGGTTACAGGCTGAGCCACCATGCCCAGCCCCTCATATGGCATAAAAAAGAAATGATGGACAAAATTTGCTGCATGGTTAAAAAAAAAAAAAAAAAAAAAGTAAAATGAAGTCAAAAGAAAAGCAATGAAACAAAAAATATTTTAGGCTGGGCATGTGACTCAAGCTTGTAATCCCAGCACTTTGGAAGGCTGAGGCAGGAGGACTGCTAGAGCCAAGGAGTTCAAGACCAGCCCAGGCAACACAGTGACACTCTGTCTCTACAAAAAATAGAAAAAATCAGCCAGGCGTGATGGTGTGCACCTGTAGTCCCAGCTACTTGGGAGGCTGAGGTGGGAAGATTGTTTGAGCCCAGGAGGTTGTGGCTGCAGTGAGCCGTGATAATGCCCTGCACTCCAGCCTGGGTGACAGAGTGAAACCCTGTCACAAAAATATAAAAAGAAAAAATATTTTAAACTCATATATTGTTCAAAGAGCTAATTTACACAATATGTTAAAAGCCTCCTATAATTAACAAGAAAATGATCAATAACTTGTGGGGAAAAGCAAGAGATCAGATTGTTACTGTCTGTGTAGAAAGAAGTAGACATAGGAGACTCCATTTTGTTCTGTACTAAGAAAAATTCTTCTGCCTTGAGATTCTGTTAATCTATGACCTTACCCCCAACCCCCTGCTCTCTGAAATACGTGCTGTGTCAAACTCAGGGTTAAATGGATTAAGGGTTGTGCAAGATGTGCTTTGTTAAACAGATGCTTGAAGGCAGCATGCTCGTTAAGAGTCATCACCACTCCCTAATCTCAAGTACCCAGGGACACAAACACTGCGGAAGGCCGCAGGGACCTCTGCCTAGGAAAGCCAGGTATTGTCCAAGGTTTCTCCCCATGTGATAGACTGAAATATGGCCTCGTGGGAAGGGAAAGACCTGACCGTCCCCCAGCCTGACACCCGTAAAGGGTCTGTGCTGAGGAGGATTAGTATAAGAGGAAGGCATGCCTCTTGCACTTGAGACAAGAGGAAAGCATCTGTCTCCTGCCTGTCCCTGGGCAATGCACTGTCTCGGTATAAAACCCGATTGTACGTTCCATCTACTGAGTTAGGGAAAAACCGCCTTAGGGCTGGAGGTGGGACATGCGGGCAGCAATACTGCTTTGTAAAGCATTGAGATGTTTATGTGTATGCATATCTAAAAGCACAGCACTTGATTCTTTACTTTGTCTATGATGCAAAGACCTTTGTTCACATGTTTGTCTGCTAATCCTCTCCCCACTATTGTCTTGTGACCCTGACACATCCCCCTCTCAGAGAAACACCCACGAATGATCAATAAATACTAAGGGAACTCAGAGGCTGGCGGGATCCTCCATATGCTGAACGCTGGTTCCCTGGGTCCCCTTATTTCTTTCTCTATACTTTGTGTCTTTTTCTTTTCCAAGTCTCTCGTTCCACCTAACAAGAAACACCCACAGGTGAGGAGGGGCAACCCACCCCTTCATAACTTAATAGGCAAAGCATTATCCAAACAGACTGTTCACAGAAAAGAAAAATATTAATGACTCAAATTCACAAAAATATGCTCAATCTCACTAACAAAATGCATGGACAAGACAATTCGATGCAACACTGTAATCATAAAAGATAATCACCCTCTAGGAGCGAGTTAAGTAAAATCCATGCAATAGTATTCCATACAGTTACTGAAATGAATGAAATAATGCTTTATAATGATGAAGATAATAGTTAACATTTACTGAGCACTTAGTATATGCCAGGCCTGTCTTAACGGTTTATAGATAAAGCTTATGTCTCAATTCTATTATTTTTTCTATATTTTTTTTTAGCTGCAGAAACTAACACAGAAAGGTTAAGTAACTTGAAAAAGATTAAAACTAGTAAGTAATGGAGCCATGGTTTAAGTCCCAGTGTCTGGCTCCAGAGTCAATGCTCTTAACTACCATGAAGAATCTCCAAGATGTATTTTTAAGTGCGTGCTTGGGGTGGTTGAGGGTGGTGGTGAAGAAAGATGCGGAAGTGTTTATCGTATGCTAAGATTTATTGTTTTTAACAGTTTTTGCTTATATGCATAGACAATCTTTAGAAGGACACACAAGAAACTGTACTCCCTTTGGATTTTATAACATACGTATATGTTACCCTTTAAAAAGTCAAGTTTAAGTTAAAGAAAACACACCCAAATCATTAGATTCTCACTAGGATTCTCAATGTGAAATAGAAGAGGCATTAGATTTGGAAATATGGAGTCTACTCCTGGTTTTCCTGGTGGCTCTAGTAAAAAATCACAATCTCTTTTTTTTTTTTTGAGACGGAGTCTCAGTCTGTTGCCCAGGCTGGAGTGCAGTGGCGCGATCTCGGCTCACTGCAAGCTCCGCCTCCCAGGTTCACGCCACTCTCCTGTCTCAGCCTCCCTAGTAGCTGGGACTACAGGTGCCTGCCACCACGCCTGGCTAATTTTTTTGTGTATTTTTAGTAGAGACGGGGTTTCACCGTGTTAGCCAGGATGGTCTTGATCTCCTGACCTCGTGATCCGCCCGCCTCGACCTCCCAAAGTGCTGGGATTACAAACGTGAGCCACCGCGCCCGGCCAAAAATCACAATCTGTTAAACCAGGAGTCAACAATCTTTTTCCACAAAGTGCCAGATAGTAAATATTTTAGGCTTTCTAGGTCCAATAGCTTCTGTTGAAACTGTTCGACTCAGCCATTGTAGTGCTAGAACAGCCAGGTGATGCGTAAACAAATGAGAGTAGGTACAGCTAGGTTCTAAGAACCTGGGCAACGAAATTTGATTTTCATTTAATTTTCCCAAGCCACAAAATATTCTTTTGATTTTTTTTTTAACTTAAAAAAAGTAAAAACAAGTTTTTAGCTCACAATCTACCTTTGGCCCACGGGCCGTAGTTTGCTGACACTTGAACCATTTGTTCAATGAAGGGCCCGATTCATTATGTCAAAGGTCATTTCCTACTATAATATTCTGAAATTCTCTACTTTTAATATTGCGAGTAAGGCAGACAGAGAAAAAATGAGGAAATACATCTTTAGTTATTTTTAATGATCCAAATATTAAATCAAAGTAATGCGTTGGGGCCGAGTGCAGTGGCTCACGTCTGTAATCCCAGCACCTTGGGAGGCTGAATCAGGCAGATCTCTCGAGCTCAAGAGCTCGAGACCAGCCTGGGCAGCAGCAAAACCCCATCTCTACAAAAAATACCAGAAAAAAAAAAAAAGAAAAAGAAAAAAATTAGCCGGCCATGGTAGTGTGTGCCTGCAGTCCCAGATGCTCAGGAAGCTGAGATGGGAGAATCGTTTGAGCCTGGGAGGCAGAGGTTGCAGCCAGCTGATACTGTACCACTGCACTCCAGCCTGGGTGATAGAGCCAGAGCTTGTCTCAAACAAAACAAAACAAATTAGCTGGGAGTAATGGCATGCGCCTCTAGTCCCAGCCACTCAGGAGGCTGAGGTGGGAAGATTGCTGGAGCCCAGGGAAGTCAAGGATGCAGTAAGCAGATATCATACCACTGCATTCTAGCCTGGGCAACAGACCCAGACCCTGTCTCAAAAACAAAGAAAAAAGAAAGTAATAGGTTGGGTGTTTCAAAAGATTTTTAGCCTTAAGATCCAGATTATTTAAAAAGTGAACTGCCTACTCCCTTTCTTGGACTCCCTCCTCTATGAGTAAAAATGTATTACAGCAACTGTAACACATCATTATCCCCATTCCACTTTCCACTATGAAACTTAAGACTTTTGATGACAGGGATAACATCTACTTTATCTTTGTAACTCCTGCCTCTAACGCAATGCCTAGCAAGTGATACAGGTATGATGCTTGTTCAATAAATAAATAATACATCACACAGTAATGATTTCCAATTTACTCTTACAACTTTACATAGTACTTAAGAAGTCCTTAAGAAATTCTAAAAAATCCTCACCAAGCAGATAAGCAGCAGATAAACCTGATAAACACTTACATGCTGTAGTATAGTGGTAATAACCTAGCGTCCTGGCTCTGAGGTCAGTTAAAACATATGTAAATCTTAGCTCTGGCACTTACTAATCATGTCTCCCTAAACCTCAATTTCTTTGATCCTGTAAAATGGGGGAAATTATAACTGCTTCATGATGTAATTTTAAGGATTAAATGAGAAAAAACATATAAAGCAAGTAGCATAATTCCTGGCAAATGTAAGTGTTCATTAAACAACCACCTTTATAACAAAGTATCTCAAGTCATACTAGACTCCTAACTGGTCTTTCTTCAAGTCCTGCTCCCTCAAAAATTTAATCTTCCAAAAAGCAGCTAAAATGATTTTTTTTTTTTTGAGACAGAATTTTGCTCTGTCGCCCAGGCGCTCAGCTCACTGCAACCTCCGCCTCCTGGGTTCAAGTGATTCTCGTGCCTCAGCCACTGGAGTAGCTGGGATTACAGGCGTGCACCACCACGCCCCTCTAATTTTTATATTTTTAGTAGAGACGGGGTTTCACCATGTTGGCCAGGTTGGTCTCAAACTCCTGACCTCAGATGATCCGGCTTCTTCGGCTGGCTCCCTAAAGTGCTGGGATTACAGGCATGAGACAATGCGCCCAGCCAGAATGATCTTGAAAAACCAATTCGGGCTCAAGCTTTAAATCCTCTCGTAGTTTCCCACTATAATGAAAAGAAAGTCTAAAGTGCTCATCTTGACTTACAAAGCTAATCATCTGTCGCCTCCTTACCCCTCCATGTTCATCTTGGGCCATTCATCCTCTGCCCATTGAGCTTCAGATCCACAAGCCCTTCAGTTCCTCACCCCAGCAGTTTCCTTTGCTAGGACTGCTCTTTCTGGCAGATGACTAGGCTTCTTCCTCTTTCAGATCTCACCTTCTTAAATGTCACCTCAGACAGGCAGGTATCCTGTCCGCTACTGTAACATCCTCTTTAAATAGCCCCCATCACACCTATTTGTTGTTTGTTCCAGCCCCTCCGCGAACCCTGCCTCTACCCGCCGCATGGCAGCTACCTGGGAGAGTGCCTGGAGTTGAATGAATGAAAATAGTCTGTAGGGTGCACTGCCCTTGTCAATCACAAGCAGATTTAATTACCTGTGCCAGAACTCACGGGAGGGAAACACCGTCCGCCAGCCCCGCTCTTTCCTGGCTACAGATAAAAGCTCCAGGTTCCGGGGGTTCCGGTTGGTGAATTCTGGGGCGACAGCTTCATTTTCCACAGGGTCCACTTCAGGTTTCGCTGCCGGCTCGGAGCTGGTTGACAGGGCTGCGAACCTGCACCCTGGGCAACGGGAAAAACCGCACAGGGCTTAAAAATGACGGATATGGACAGCGCACGAACCCGCTCTAACGTCTATCCGCTTTTACACCCCCAATCTTTAGGCCCGAGGGGACGAAAAATACGTATGCCCACAGGGTGGAGTCAGCACTGACCCCGTCCTTAACTTCCTACTGTGGTCTTCGCAGTGCCGCGAGCTCTATTTCGATCCGGCACGTCGAATACAAAATAGAACCCGCACGTTCCAATGTACTGTGCAAGCCCAGGCGAGTGAGCTGGGAGAAGGGGGGCAAGACTAATTACCAGGGTTCCTGCAAACCGAGAACAACCCCCAAAACCGCGACCGAAGCGCCATCGCTGAGACGATCTCGGAAAAGCCTCGCCTCTTTTTCCTCACGGACGACTCAGTCGCTCGCCAGGAGCAGCCATATAAAGTCAGGGACAAGCCTTTGGCTGCTGTAGATCCCCAAACTCTCCACGCCAGACGCCACCGACCCGGAAGTAGCAAGTCCCCTGCCACTGAGTGGCCGAGAAGGCGATCTGTTATCCTTCATCGCCAATCATCGCTCACGTCGAGGGGCACGCAGGCCCTGGAGCCCACCAACCACCTCGTAGCTACGCCCAAGACCACGCTTGTTGCTTAAGTCCGGGGTCAAAGGCACACACCCCACAAAACCATGTTTGGGTTTTCTACTCGGAGAGCTTGGGCGGTCATCGACTGGTCCACACACACCCCACCTGGGCACCGCGTAGGAATAAGGCAGGGCAAGATGCAGTTTTCTCCTTAAAAAGGGTGGTTGTCTTCCTCGAACCAAAAATTTTCCCGTATGGCCCGCTGGAAAAACTGCCCCGTCCCACCCAGGTTCGCGCCCTTAAACTTACACTCCTGAGGCCTGGAGCAAAGCCGGCCGATCTGCCTCACGCTCCCCGAGCAGGGACAAGGAAAAGACACTAAACCTAAAACGCACGACTCGCTCAGAACCCCAACTCTAACTTGGAGAAGGGCCCGCCCCTCCAGTTACACCCCAGCTCCAAGCTCCACCCTTCTTACAACCTTTTCTAGAAGGCACTAGAATGGCCCACTGCGTCTGCGCAACATCGTTTGAGGCGAAGGTTCAACCTCTTCCCAGCGGTCCAACATCCGACTTCCGTTCTCCGCTTTCGCGCCCTTCCCATCGGCTATCTAATTGGACAAAAATGCCGACCCCGCCCCTTCCCCGGAGCCTCACTTCCGTCACAGTCCTGTTTCTCTCCCTGTTGTCCCTGCCTCTTTTTCCTTCCCGCCGTGCCCCGCGGCCGGGCCGGGGCAGCCGGGAAGCGGGTGGGGTGGTGTGTTACCCAGTAGCTCCTGGGACATCGCTCGGGTACGCTCCACGCCGTCGCAGCCACTGCTGTGGTCGCCGGTCGGCCGAGGGGCCGCGATACTGGTTGCCCGCGGTGTAAGCAGAATTCGACGTGTATCGCTGCCGTCAAGATGGAGGGGCCTTTGTCCGTGTTCGGTGACCGCAGCACTGGGGAAACGATCCGCTCCCAAAACGGTAAGGGCGGGCCGGGCCTGGGTCGGGTTTGCGGCCGGGGAGGGCCGAGTCCCACCGCGACCGGACCCCGGCTGCCCTCGTTTCTCTCCTTTACCTCCGCAGAAAGGGCCTCGGGGCCCCGCAGCCGGACCCAGCCCACCCGCCGTTCTCTGGGGCAGGGCGCTGTGGCCCCACTTTTCCCACAGCGAGGAGGAGCCCCGCCGCGCGCGGCAGGGTTTTGAGACCGGCAACGCGTGGATGTGGTGTCCGGGGCGGCGTTGGAAACGCGCCCTCCGCGGGAAAGCGGGCCTCCCGGGCTCGCACGTGCGGGCCACGCCTCGCACCCCCTTTTGTTTCAGGGCGACCCCCTGAGTGTCCATGTTAAACGCCAGGTTTTATTTTAGGACCATTTACCAGAAAAAGAGTAGGTCCATCCGCGCGCCCTCGGATGAGCCCGGTGCCCTGTCCGCCCGCAGCTGCAGTCGAGGTCGGGCGTCCGGCGTCCAGCCGTATCCGGGTTGACAGCTTCTTACAGTAGAGTTAGCCCAGGAAACGCCACTCGAGTGCATTGACCCCAGGAGACGGCAGCGCTAACTTAGCAGAGCGTTTGCTGTCAGGCCTTTGGATACCTACAGAGCTTACTGTTTCTTGATAGATTCCTAATTTTTTTCGTAAACAAATCTGAAAGTCACCACCTTCCCCGTTGACTACCGATTTCTCTCCTCACAGATAAAGAGAGTTTTAATGAGCAAAAAACTTGCAGAATCTGAAGGAAAAGGCTGGTATAGCTGTACGAAGTGGCAGAGCATGAAATTGGTGGTTATTACTTTTTTTTTTTTTCCCCGCCATCAGATTCCACCCCGCATCAAAGCTGTGCCAAATAGGCTCGCTTTGTTTAGGGACAGGGTCCCACCTGTCGCCCAGACGAGAGTGCCATCATAGCTCACTGCATTCTCCAAGCACAGGTCCGCGCCGCCGCATCCGGCTTTGTTTTTATTTTTTGTAGAAATGGGTTTCGCTATGTTGCCCAAAGGGGTCTCAAACTCCTGGCATCAAGCGATCCTCCTGCCTCGGCCTCGCAGTGTTGGGATTACACCTGTGAGCCACAGTGTCTGGCCCCATTTACACTCTTAGTAGGTGGTTTTTAAATAATTAACACAGATTTGTAGATTTGGGAAATACGGGGGCTGTTGGATGTCATTTACCTTTAGGCTGAAATTACTGTCTTTCAGAGTTGTGGCTTATCCTCATTTCTTTTTTATTTTTAATTGATTGTCTACAGTTATGGCTGCAGCTTCGATTGCCAATATTGTAAAAAGTTCTCTTGGTCCAGTTGGCTTGGATAAAATGTTGGTGGATGATATTGGTGTAAGTACACATAACTGTTGTGTTAGTTTCCTTAAAGTAAAACTATCTTCAGTGTTTTGCTATGTTCTTTCTTTGACTTTATCAGAATCCACGTACTGGAAGGTGATATTAAAGGTGAACGTGTATTATAATGGGGCTGTGTTGATTTCTATAAGTGGTTCATATTTTTTCCTGCGAATTTCTTAGGATGTAACCATTACTAACGATGGTGCAACCATCCTGAAGTTACTGGAGGTAGAACATCCTGCAGCTAAAGTTCTTTGTGAGCTGGCTGATCTGCAAGACAAAGAAGTTGGAGATGGAACTACTTCAGTGGTAGGTAGACTGGCTAAAGAATGATCATTTTTCTAAAAACGACCGACTTTCAGAAAGTTGAAGCCATAAGTGGGTCATTTGTGCTGTGTCAGAAATAAGTTACATATTCTGAATGCCCAGAAGATTGAGCAAGAAGAAAAAACAAAAGAAGTTACACATTTAAGAGGGGAAATAAGCTTCTTAGGTACAGATTCAGAAACAAAATTTGTAAGTTGATAGTTACAGCTAGTTTGTACAGTTTAAGTAGGAAAGAATTTGAGTTCATTTGACATAGCCCCATTGTTTTAAATGTTGGTATTCACAAGTTTTGAGGGCTTATTTTTCCTTTTATGGCAGTATTCAGACATCACACAGATTTTTTTATGGTCTCTCAAAAGTCTTGTTTCCTCCCCCATCACCCCTTGAGACTTGGAAAGCTCTCAACTTTTCTGATTATTTGGAGGATAAAATGTTACCAATCTGGGGGAGAAACAATGTTTTTATATTATTATTTTTAAGAGACCATCTGTAGCACAGTCTGAAGTGCTGCAGTGCTGTCATATCTCACTGCAGCCTGGAACTCCTGGGTTCAAGCAATCCTCCTGCCTTAGCCTCCCAGAGTGCTTGGGATTGCAGGCATGTGCCACCACAAGCAACTAATTAAAAACCTCTTTTTTTTTTTTTTAAGAGACAGGGTCTCGCTATGTTGCCCAGGCTGGTCTTGAACTCCTGGCCTCAAGTGATCCTCCCTTCTCGGCCTCTGTAGTGCTGGGATTACACGCATGAGCTGCACTCAGCCTGTTCTATTTTTTAAATCCTGACAGGTAATCTCAGGAATTCAAAATGGGAGTGTGAGAAATTAATAAATACATCATGATATGACAGTGTGATCTTACCGAGTCAGTAAATGTGATACACAGTATAAACTCTTCATAGATCATCCAGCATGCTGGTATAGTAGAAACACTATTGTTTGGTGAGAAAGATGTTAATTCTGGAGAAACTAGATAGTTTGTGGGGAAAATGTATTTCTAGATTAAACTTTAGCCATGAAAGAATGGAATCTACTCCTAAAATATGAATATGATCTTTGTCTAACTTACGATAATGTGATTTAACAAATGTAGTTTTCCTTCCATAAGAAGCTGACAGTCTTTTTGCTTTAAAAATATTTCTTAGTGTTTTATCAACTTGAAGAACTATCTTTTTTAAATAAAATAATAGCTTAATATAGGTCATATGAATAGTCACACTCGGTTTAGCTTCTGTTGAGCATTTTTTCTAAAGGTAATAGATGTGTTGTCTTTTACGGTTGTATTGATGAACTAGTTTCTTATTGCTGAACTAGTTTCTTAGAACATTTTTCTGGCTCCTACCCAGTTTTGGCCATTTGCATTTATAATACAATAAGACCTCACTGAACATCCACAGTGGCTTCATGGAAACTGACTTTAAGAGGAAAGATGATGTATAAAAAAACAAGTTTTCCTCCCCCCATCAGCGTTACAATAAACAACTGTATTTGAGAAATTGCTGTCCATTGTTTTGCTTAAAGTGGCAGTTTCCAAGAATTTATGAGTAACGTGGAGGACTTGGAGTGTTTTGTAGCGTTCTTCTCCCTTCACGCCCAGGTTTCTAATAACCAGTTAATTCATTTCATCACTACCATTTTGGTTAATAATATATGGCCATTTTAGTGTCATTCCATATGTATTGCACATGTTGAATATCCGGCACACTCAGACCAGTGAATGTTTTCTCAACAGGTTATTATTGCAGCAGAACTCCTAAAAAATGCAGATGAATTAGTCAAACAGAAAATTCATCCCACATCAGTTATTAGTGGCTATCGACTTGCTTGCAAGTAAGATTGTTTGCATTCAGAGAAATTTTTTTTGATGTAATAGTTGTAAACTGTGTTGTCTTAACGTTTTGATTAATAACTAAATTTTAATTTGAAAACCTTCAATTTAAATGTTTTAGCATTTAAGTAGTAATATTTGAAGTTAAAAACTTGGACCAGTATCTTTTTTCTCATTTGACTACCACATTTTCTCCTAATAATAGATTTTAGTGGCTATGCTTATGGGATAGATTAAACTTGCCATGATCTGAAGAGGGAGGGTTTTTTCATGTCCTCCTCCTATATGAAATGGCTGAACGGATATTATTACTTACGACATTTTGGCTCTGTGTTAAGCATGATGAATGCAAAGAGTTTGAGTAGTGACTTTATAAGCGTTTTTCTCCCCCACACTTTTAAACAGGGAAGCAGTGCGTTATATCAATGAAAACCTAATTGTTAACACAGATGAACTGGGAAGAGATTGCCTGATTAATGCTGCTAAGACATCCATGTCTTCCAAAATCATTGGAATGTATCCTTGTGGTTGTCAGATAAAATTTAGACTTTTTAAAGCATAAGACTTTGAGATGGGCATGGTGGTATGTGCCTGTAGTCCCAGCTACTAAGGAGGCTGAGGTAGGAGTATTAATTGAACCCAGGAGTGCCAGTCCAATGTGGGCAACATAGCAAGACCCTGTCTCGGGAGTGGGTGCGTGTGTGCGCATGTGTTGCGCGCACGCGTGCGTAGTAGCAGCAGTATCAATTTTGTGCAATAAAATTTTGAATAACCAATTTTATGCAAATTGATATCAATAGAGAGGAGTAATGCTGTATTGAAATTACCTGTTGCCTTCCCTGCTTTTTTAGGGTGAAAAGGTAATAAAAAGCATGTCTAAAAGTGATATGAATTGCAGATAGTGATAATGTTGTAACATTTTGGTGACAAGTAATGCTTGCTGCTTTAATAGATTAGATTACTAAAAGGAAGTCCCTTGAAATTACCCTTGATTTTTCACGTGTGTACCCTTTGTCCATTCCAAACCTGTTACTGTCCTTAACTTTTGGCGTAGAAATGGTGATTTCTTTGCTAACATGGTAGTAGATGCTGTACTTGCTATTAAATACACAGACATAAGAGGCCAGCCACGCTATCCAGTCAACTCTGTTAATATTTTGAAAGCCCATGGGAGAAGTCAAATGGAGAGTATGCTCATCAGTGGCTATGCACTCAACTGTGTGGTGGGATCCCAGGGTAAGGTTTGGGATTTGGTTTATAGAATGAGATTGCTACAGATTAAAACTAGCTTTTCTTTTGGCTGGGCGCGGTGGCTCATGCCTGTAATCCCAGCACTTTGGGAGGCTGAGTCAGGTGGATCACGAGGGCAGGAGTTTGAGAGCAGCCTGTCCAATATGGTGAAACCTCATCTCTACTAAAAAATACAAAAATTAGCTGGGCATGGTGGCACCTGCCTGTAGTCCCAGCTACTTGGGAGGCTGAGGAAGGAGAATCACTGGAACCTGGGAGGCGGAGATTGCAGTGAGCCAAGATCACACCACTGCACTCCAGCCTGGGCTACAGAGTGAGACTCCGTCTCAAAAAAAAAAAAAAATAAAAAATGTTTTTTTGTGGATTATGTGCAGTACATCTTTTTGTAATTTAAAGCACATACAACATGGTAGAAGGAATGTGAATTAAAAGAAATTACGTGCATTTAATGCCATAAAATTTTTCTAAGATAAAATGCAATGAATTAGTCTAAATTTGTGTGTTTACATACAATCGATTATAGGTACTCTTTATTATGCTTTTAAGGATAGACGTATTAACTTAATCTTATGTTCAATTGTAGGCATGCCCAAGAGAATCGTAAATGCAAAAATTGCTTGCCTTGACTTCAGCCTGCAAAAAACAAAAATGAAGCTTGGTGTACAGGTGGTCATTACAGACCCTGAAAAACTGGACCAAATTAGACAGAGGTATGTTGAGAGATTATTTTTGGCCTTTTAAGTGTGAGTGTCTTGGAGGACTTTAACATTTTTAGCCAAGTCAAACTATTTTACTTCCAGAAAAATTAGCCTGGTGGTGTTTTTAGAGGGATTTGGGGTTATACAACCTATATGAAAATCGGCCTTTTTGTGGAATTTTGATTGTATGAGTCTATTAATATTAAAGATGTAAAAGACAGGAATCTAATTTCCTCAAAGCAGTACAGAACTCAGCAGTATAGTATTGACTGTAACCTACTGTTTGCTAGATACTGGAGGTGCAGGTGATATTAGTGGTTGGCATGCCAGAAGAGCTAATGGTGGAGGTAGTGTGACCATTGCTATAGATTTGACTGCCTGACAGTCACTTAAAACAATAAATTGTTTAGGCTGGGCACAGTGGCTCATGCCTGTAATCGCAACACTTTGAGAGGCTGAGGTGGCAAGAATCTGAAGCCCAGGAGGTTGAGGCTGCAGTGAGCTGTGATTGTACCACTGCACTCCAACCTGGGTGACAGCGAGACCCTGTCTCAAAAAAAAAAAAAAAAAAAATAGTTTAAACAGTAGTTAGACCTACAAGAAAGCTTTGCCAAGAGTAAGAAATGTGCTGTCATCTTTTAAATCAGTCTGCACGGGTGTTCTTTTTTCCTTCCTTCCTCATACAACAAAGTGTCCTTTCTTCCATCAAAGCCAGTCCCTCTACAGTAAGTGTTCTAGAGTCTGTTTCCTTCTGCTCTAGAGCCTTTTCTTTGATTCTTGTTTCATACTTGCATCTTCAACTAATTATGCTCTTTCCTGGATTCTTCCTGTGGCTCTTTTGTCCTTCAAGCTTCTTCATACATCCTTGTGCTATAGGTACTCCCTATCGTACATCTTTACAGGCAGATGTCATGAGTGGTTTACTACACAAAACTTCTCTGGTGCTTTTCTTCTCATCCCTTTTCAGCCCTGTTCTCCATTTGAGGGACTGCATGTTAAGGTCTCTAGCGTGAAATTCGGAAGACATTTTCAGCCTTCCTCTTACTTGACCTTTAGCAACCCTTTGATTATGTCCTTCTTGAAATGCTTTCGGGGATGGAAGGCTTTGTGATGCTGCTTTGTCTGGACCATGTCATAATACTCTCCAGGATAGCCCCTTTGTTCCCATGACTTCATGTATTATCTCTCTATGCCAGAGACTCTTTCAGCTGTTTCTCTAAGCTCCAAACACACATACCTCTATCTAGTAGAATGCTTTTCAAGCATCTCAAAGTGAACATGTCTAAAACTGAACTTGTGATAATACCGCAAATCTGCTTTTGACCATTTTAGTGATGGGGAGTCCTTCACACAGGCAGAAAACTAGGAAATGTCCTTAACTCCTCCTTTTTACCAACACTTTTTCTCCTAATCTGTCACCAAGACCGCTTGATTTCTACCTCCAAATTAAATTTACCTACTTTTCATTTTCTTGCCTAGACTGTTGTAGAAACACACCCAAGCTAGTCTCTTAGAGAAGCTTTTCTTTCTTCTTCAATCTAAATTATATTCTGTTGTAACTTCCTGTATTTTTTCTTCCTGGGGCTTATTACAGTTTTTACCATGAGTTTATATAACAGTGTGTAGCACACAGTACTTGTTTAGTAGACAAGCTGCTTTTGAGGTTGATCTGTAATTCATTTTACTTTAAAAATTCTTCGAATGATCTATTCACATGGCTTCACTCATATTGACTCTTCAAATCTGGATCTCCCATAGTTTATGGTTTCCATGATGTAAGTGACTGCCTCCTGGGAGCTTCACCTGAGTAACAGCAGAGACTTCAAACTTAATCTTGTCCTCAACTAAACTCTCATTTCCCATCCTGCCCCCAAAACTCTTGTTATTTATTTTACTCCAGGAGTCACCCAAGCCATAAAATTTGACTTTTCTGTTTAGGTTGTCTTTCAGCTTATATCTCATGTTATTATCTTCTTGTCTTCAGCCATTCAGTGCAGTTTCCACATTGATAATCAGGGAATCCTTTTGAAAACACAGATGATATACTAGTCTTGCTTAGAGATATTAAGCTTAGTATCTAGATTGTTTGGTGTAACCTGCAAGGTTTTTCACTTTTCTGGTTCTGCCTTCTTTTGTGCTTTCAACTCTGGACTCCTGTTTTTGTTTGTTTGTTTGTTTTTGAGACGGAGTTTTGCTCTTGTTGCCCAGGCTGGAGTGCAGTGGCACGGTCTCGGCTCACTGCGACCTCCGCCTTCCGGGTTTAAGTGATACTCCTGCCTCAGTCTCCTGAGTATCTGGGATTACAGGCGCCCACCACCAGGCCCAACTAATTTTTTGTATTTTTAGTAGAGGCGGTTTCACCGTGTTGGCCAGGTTGGTCTCGAACTCCTGACCTCAGGTGATCTGCCCGCCTCAGCCTCCCAAAGTGCTGGGATTACAGGCGTGAGCCACTGCACTTGGCCTGGACTCATCTTCATTGTCCACCTCCTAGGCTAAATTTATGTCTTTTATGTGCTTGTAATCTCTGCATACCACTTTAGTGACACTTGCCCTGGAGTGTGATTGGTAATCCCTCTCCCCACTAGATCCTTGAAGGCAGGACCTGTGTTCCCTGTTTAACCATAGTTCTCAATTAGTAATTCAAATTTGGGTTGGGGAGAGCTAAGTGGTAATTTTTAATTCCTTCAAATTTTCCATGAATTGGACTAATTTAAATTCTGGTCAGAGATAACAAAGGATAATACAATTTGATCTATGATTATCTTGTGATAAATACTTAATGGAAGTTAAATTATTTTTAAAAATCACAGAAGGTAACTCAGGTTACAAAAATACTTTGCAGAGAATCAGATATCACCAAGGAGAGAATTCAGAAGATCCTGGCAACTGGTGCCAATGTTATTCTAACCACTGGTGGAATTGATGATATGTGTCTGAAGTATTTTGTGGAGGCTGGTGCTATGGCAGTTAGAAGAGTTTTAAAAAGGGACCTTAAACGCATTGCCAAAGCTTCTGGAGGTATGTCTTGTGCTGGCTGTCACATAAAATACTTTTATTATCCCTGATCCTATCAAAGGTCTTTTTACATTGGAATATTGACAGAAAACAGCTCAAAAACATTTATATTCTCTTAATGCTTTGTGCTACCAACACATTTATAGAGCCATTTTTCATGTAACTGGAGAAATTTTGTTGGAAATTTGTGAACTGAATTTGTTCATTTCTAAAATGACAGTTCCATCTTAGGATAAAAGGAGTTACCGTGTGCTGCCTAACTAAATTCTAAACTTGTAATATAGCACTTTTACCACAAATGCTACTGAGTCCAAGGATATTAAAATCATGAAAGAGCAATATTCACAGATCCTTTGTAACTCTCTTATTAGCAACTATTCTGTCAACCCTGGCCAATTTGGAAGGTGAAGAAACTTTTGAAGCTGCAATGTTGGGACAGGCAGAAGAAGTGGTACAGGAGAGAATTTGTGATGATGAGCTGATCTTAATCAAAAAGTAAGAGCCACTTTCTAAAATTGTAAAGTTATACCGATTTTGTTAAGTAAAAGTAGGTTTTCTTCCCATTTATTTGCTGCTTGTAGTCTCACAGTGATACGAGCAGTTATACGCATGGGATAAAATAACATTGGGCCACTGTAAATTGAGATGAAGTAACCATTTTCATCTCTTCTGCAGGGACTAGACATTGTTTCTGTATAGTATATCTAAATATCCTGTGTAGGCAGGACTTAAGGGAACTTTATGTAGACTTATTTTATTAAAATGCCATTTTTTTTGAGAAATTGATGGTCTTGGCAAAAAAAAATTTTTAAAAATGCTATTACAAGAATTGTACTTTTGTTTTGAACAGTACTAAGGCTCGTACGTCTGCATCGATTATCTTACGTGGGGCAAATGATTTCATGTGTGATGAGATGGAGCGCTCTTTACATGATGCACTTTGTGTAGTGAAGAGAGTTTTGGAGTCAAAATCTGTGGTTCCCGGTGGGGGTGCTGTAGAAGCAGCCCTTTCCATATACCTTGAAAACTATGCAACCAGCATGGTAAGAACAGTCATTTCTTGTCTTAGAGGCCTGAGAGCAGTAGCTGTGGACTTCAATTTTTTTTTTCCCTTTTGTGAAGTCACCTAATTTTCTTCTTTTCCTAGGGGTCTCGGGAACAGCTTGCGATTGCAGAGTTTGCAAGATCACTTCTTGTTATTCCCAATACACTAGCAGTTAATGCTGCCCAGGACTCCACAGATCTGGTTGCAAAATTAAGAGCTTTTCATAATGAGGCCCAGGTTAACCCAGAACGTAAAAATCTAAAATGGTAAGCATGGTTTCCCGCTCTTTGTTAACCTCTGCAGAACAGGTTGCATTAAAAAGGATAGTAGTCAATTACATGTCAGCAAACATAAGTAACAGACTTGTCAAATACTTAACATGAAAAACTTCACAGCAAGCATTTGTTGTTCAGTCACTGTAATTCAAGGGATAATGACTAATTATTAGCACTGGTGTGTCTTCGTTAACTGTGATTGCTAATCTCTCCCTGCTTCTTTTGGTAGAAAGACTACCTACAAGATCTCTAGTCTGATTTAAAAATCAACCTTAATACTTGAATGAAATGCTGGAGTTAATAGGCCACCTAATGAAATTGTAAGCGGCCGTTAAATAATTCTTTCTTAATTGCAGGATTGGTCTTGATTTGAGCAATGGTAAACCTCGAGACAACAAACAAGCAGGGGTGTTTGAACCAACCATAGTTAAAGTTAAGAGTTTGAAATTTGCAACAGAAGCTGCAATCACCATTCTTCGAATTGATGATCTTATTAAATTACATCCAGAAAGTA
Source organism: Homo sapiens (assembly GCF_000001405.40). Classification (NCBI taxonomy): domain Eukaryota; kingdom Metazoa; phylum Chordata; class Mammalia; order Primates; family Hominidae; genus Homo; species Homo sapiens. The sequence continues at coordinate 159,779,103 of NC_000006.12, read as the reverse complement.
AAGATGATAAACATGGAAGTTATGAAGATGCTGTTCACTCTGGAGCCCTTAATGATTGATCTGATGTTCCTTTTATTTATAACAATGTTAAATGCAATTGTCTTGTACCTTGAGTTGAGTATTACACATTAAAGTAAAGTACAAGCTGTAAACTTGGGTTTTTGTGATGTAGGAAATGGTTTCCATCTGTACTTTGGTCCTCTGATTTCACATATTGCAACCTAGTACTTTATTAGTTTAAAAAGAAATTGAGGTTGTTCAAAGTTTAAGCAATTCATTCTCTCTGAACACACATTGCTATTCCCATCCCACCCCCAATGCACAGGGCTGCAACACCACGACTTCTGCCCATTCTCTCCAGTGTGTGTAACAGGGTCACAAGAATTCGACAGCCAGATGCTCCAAGAGGGTGGCCCAAGGCTATAGCCCCTCCTTCAATATTGACCTAACGGGGGAGAAAAGATTTAGATTGTTTATTCTTCTGTGGACACAGTTTAAAATCTTAAACTTGTCTTTTTCCTCTTAATGTATCAGCATGCTACCCTTTCAAACTCAAATTTTCATTTTAACTGCTTAGGAATAAATTTACACCTTTGTGAAAATTCATCCCTGCCTATCTTACCTCGTTCCTTTTATGCCAAGTAAGCCAATGTCTTTTTTTTTTTTTTTTTTTTTTTTTAAACCTTGGGAAGTAATGAACTCAGTCCTAGTAACTAGTATTTCTTTAACTATTACCCACATGGCCAACACCTAGAAGATACTATCTTAAAATTGGATTGTGAAATTCACTGGTAAGCTCTCAGGGTTACTTGTGCATCTTTACCTTCTCTGGGTTTAATCCAAGTTCTTTAACTATTGCAGCAGAGACAGCTGCAAAGGCTTCATTGATTTCAAATATGTCAACATCTTCCAGTGACCAACCTGCTTTTGTAACCTAGAGGAAAGATTCATAGAAAAGAGGTCTAAACTTGGGTGGAAAGGCTAAAGTTAAACCATTCTTTGTCAACATAAATATATGCTGCATGATACTGGTAACTGCTACTTTGGTTTGTTCTTAGGTTAATACAGTGACATTCTCACACATTTTTGCCTTAGTGACATCCATTCCATCCAAAAGGTTAAGGGTGTGATCTAAAAGATCCCTTAGAAATTCTAAATTGTCTTAAAATTTTGAACCAGTAGCATCTGTTATGTGTACCTAAGGCTAATGTAACAGAATCAGTTCCCCTAGAAAGCATGTGATCCAAATGCTCTCAGTGGCTGGGGGTAGTGGCTCACACCTGAAATCTCAACACTTGGGGAGCCTAAGGCAAGAGGATCAATTGAACTCAGGAGTTCAAAACCAGCCTGGGCGACATAGACCTTGTCTCTACGAAATGAAGAAGGCGTGGTGCACCTGTAGTTCGAGGTAATGGGAGGCTAAGGCAGGAGGAATATTTGAGCCTAGGAGTTTTGAGGCTGCAGTGAGCTATGATGGTGCCACTGCACTCCAGCCTGGACAACAGAGCAAGACCTTATCTCAAAAATAGAAATAAATGCTCTTGGTTACTCTTCTGGTAGGGAAAGACTAGAGCTAACTACATGAATAAGCTCACTTAAGGCTAACAGGAAGACAAATTTCATAAAAGGGAATAGGGTTATACTCACAGCTTGCTTTATGGCTGGAATTGGTCCTATTCCCATAATGGAAGGCTCCACACCCACTTGGGACCAGGAAACTATCCGTGCTAAAGGTGTAAGCCCACGTTTATCAGCTTCTGACTTCTTCATAAGAACGACAGCTGCAGCACCATCATTTATTCCTGTAAAATATGAGTGACTTAATTTCTACCATGCTTATTAACCTCAGTTACATATCTGTGGCTTCTTTACCACCTGAAGACATGAGTTAAATGATTTTACCTGTTGGCTAAGGCATTTACTATAATTCAACAGACTTTACATAGAAATTATGTTTGGCAATATATTGACCACAAAACTTTCCAACTAGAGAAAGTGGTAGGATTACAGTAGTCGGGGCTGGGCGTGGTGGCTCACGCCTGTAATCCCAGCACTTTGGGAGGTGGAGGAGGGTGAATCACCTGAGGTCAGGAGTTTGAGACCAGCCTGACCAATAGGGTGAAAGCCATCTCTACTTAAAATAGAAAAATCAGCCGGTGTGGTGGTGTGCGCCTGTAGTCCCAGCCACTCAGGAGGCTGAGACAGGAGAATTGCTTGAACCTGGGAGGCGGAGATTGCAGTGAGCCAAGATTGCACCACTGCACTCCAGCCTGGGCGACAGAGTGAGGCTCCGTCTCAAAAAGAAAAAAAAAGGATTACAGCAGTTGGGGAGGGGAGATCTCTGACAGGAAATGGAAGAATAAGCCTGGGCTTCACAAGGAGGTATTGGGAGTTTCTGGTACTGGAAAAATACAAAGGTAGATAAACTGAAGTTCCCTAATTTACTTCTTCATTTGTATGTCTAGTTGGGATGTCAAGAAACCAAATTAATTCTTTCAGTATAGGTTAAGTCAATGATCAAATACAGAGAAATGACATGTTTCCTTAAACTGTTTTAAGAATAATTTTGTACATAAATATTGAGTTGGGTGTGGTGGCTCATGCCTGTAGTCCCCCAGCTACTTGGGAGGTTAAGGCAGGGGGCTCACTTGAGCCCAGGAGTTTGAGGCTGCAAGTGAGCAATGATCATATTGCTGCACACGAACCTGGCTGGCAGAGTGAGTCCCTGTCCCAAAAAATAGTACTTTTGTATATAAATAAAGAGAAAAATATTCACTCGGTAGACATTATAGAACATAGTATTCCCCCAGATGTCCTTCAGAAAATCTAACCTGAAGCATTGGCTGGGGTGACTGTTCCCGTTCCATCAGTAAGAAAGTAAGGCTTTAGCTTGGACATGGCTTCTATGTTGCTCCCATGGCGAGGAAACTCATCTGTTTTAACTTCAATAAGACCTAAGCAAAGGAAAACCAATTACTCAAGATTAGTCCAGAGACAGAAGTAAGTGTGCTGGGAATGGTGGGTTCTCTGCCATTAAACATGAGGATTCATATTTAGCAGAAAAGTTTTAATATGTGACCACTTTGATGACAACAGGAGGAAAGTACACACAAGAATTATTGTACATGAAAACAATTTATGAGTATGTCCTTATGAGACACCTGTGTTTTCCAAATCCATAGGCCTTCCTGAGGAAAGTAGCTACCAGGGACCTGTTTGTGCCAAATTCTGCTATAGTTTGGGTCATAGTACTTGGCTGGTTACGAGTGAGTGGATCAGGCAGTCTCAAAGCCAATCGTGCACTGCTGGCAGGACATAAGAGATATCAGTTATCAATAAGGGAGCTTGACGGGAGCATTCTGTATTAGAAAATAGCGAGTGACCCCAAAAGATCCACCCTTTAGAAATGTGAAATGGAGATCACACAGAAACAGCGAGAAGTAATGGGTGTCCACTTCTGAGGAGGTTGAGCCTATACAGGAAACAGGTCAGCTGGTGCCTCCTAACAACCATGAGCCAGTGCTCCAGCTTCTCATGAAACCTGCTGTGTGTGCACAGTGGTCATGGACGCTCTGGAACCAAGAGTGCTTGAGTGCTGACATAGGTCCCATGTTACCGTGTCCTGTAAACCCAGCATACCCCCTCCCCACATTCATGTATCCAGGACATATATTTGCAACCTGAAAAACATAACTAAGATATAATTTCTAAAGATTCCTATGTATTACTCTTTTAGATGTTACTCTTACCTATAAATAGGTTGATGTTTAAACCACTATGATATACTCACCTTTTCTAGTTGACACCAAAACTGGTACAATCTCTTTGTCAAAATGGCCAGCTTTCTGTGCATTCTCTGTCCTGTTCTGGGACAGAACTGCAACCTTGTCCTGATCTTCTCTACTCACTTGCCATTTTTTGGCTACATTTTCAGCTGGGAAAGGAGAAAAACAGCAAAAAACTAACATTTTCATGAACTGGCATTTGATAGCTCAAGTCGTCCACATTTGACCAAGCACTGACTGACCACATATGCTAGCAGGCTCATGGTGGCCTGTGCAATGCTCTGTGTGGGGTGGCCCTGCCTGCCACTGGCAGTTGGTTTGGAAATGTTGCAGTGACTCTCAGGAGTCATACTTCTCTCCTTCCCTTTCTATATAATTGTAAACTTACAGAAATTTCCTTCACCCAGAGTCACCATTTATATTTTCCCTCCATTTGCTTTAATATTTTCTTTCTGAACCATCTGAGAGAAAGTTGGAGATACAATGCCTTCTTACTCTTAAATTTTAATTTCAGTGTATACTTCCCCAAAACAAGGCCACTTTCTTACATAAGCACAGTTATAAAACTCAAGAAATTGGGCCAAGTGTGGCGGCTCACACCTGTAATCCCAGCATTTTGGGAGGCCGAGGTGGGAGGATCACTTGAGCCCAGGAGTTTGAGACCAGCCTGGGCACAGCGAGACCCTGTCTCCATTAAAAATAAATTTAGCCGGGCATGGTGTGTGTGCCATGTAGCTAGTAGTCCTAGCTGCTTGGGAGGCTGAGGCAGAAGGATCACTTGAGCCTAGGAGTTCAAGGCTGCAGTGAGCCATGATTGTGCCTCTGCACTCCAGCCTGGGTGACCCTGTCTCACAAAACAAAACAAAAATCAGGAAATTTAACATGAATCAAACACTATTATCTAATCCTTGGTCCACATTCAAATTTCACCTATATTTCAGTAATGTCCTTCTAGCTCCTTTATTTGAGCCAATAAAGAAGCATGCATTGTACAACTATCAATCTCTCTAGTTTGCTTTTGTCTGTAACAGTTCTTCAGACTATGCTTCTTAAGCTTGATATTTTTGAAGAACATGGGCGAGTTCTTTTGTTAAGGGTCATCAATTTTGATTTGTCTGATGTTTCCTCAGAATTAGATTAAGATTCTGCCAAAAGGCAGGTATACCACTGAATGATAGTATGATTTTTCTCAGTGAGTCTTATTAGGACACAAATGACAATCAGTTTATCCCAGGTGATGTTATCTTTGATCACTTGGTTAAAATGGTTTGGTATTCACCAGGTTTCTAGCTTTTAAAGGTACCATTTTTTCATTTATAAGTAATCAATAATTTATCAGAGGTTCTTTTTGGATTATCCAAATATCTTCTTCCCCATCATATTTTCACCCACTAGTTTTAGCATTCATTCATGACTTTCTAACTCCAACATTCCTTCTATTGGTAAGATATTAATTGGCATTTTACCACAAAGAAAACCTTTTCCTTTTCTCCCATTTATTCAGTTATTTATATCAGGATGGACTCATACATTTTCATTTTATTGAATAAGTTATAACTCATTACTCTCATTACTTACTTTGATGCTGAAATTTTTCAATACTTGGGCAGTTATAACCCATTACTATCATTACTTATTTGCACGCTGAAATTGTTCAAAATTTAGGCAGTTACAACCCATTACTATCATAACTTATTTGCACGCTGAAATTGTTCAAAATTTGGGCAGTTACAACCCATTACTATCATTACTGACTCTGATGCTCAAATTGTTCAAAATTCCACTACAGGAAAGTGGAAGCCCCGTAGGCTGCCTCCTGTGTGCTTTCAACATGTCCCTGAGCATGTCCTTAATTTTTTAGCATTTTTTCCCTAGCCTTGGAAAGGGCCATTTCTCCAAACAACCTTAGTTCCTTTTAGTGGATAAATGTATTTAGAAGATCTGGGTGTCAGGACTGCTTGTTGTTACTGGTTTGTCATTGTTTCTAGGTCTGTTCAGTAGAAACTTCCATATGTATTATTTATAATTTTACATATACACACACACTCATGGTAACACCTTGAGTTCATACTGCATTTTGAGTTCTCCAAAATGCAACCTAACACCACAAGCTACATTCTTCTCCCTTTCCGTATTTGTAACTCTCTTCTACAAATGTGAGAATTGGCCAGGTTTGGTGGGTCACACCTGTAATCCCAGCACTTTGGGAGGCTGAGGTGGGAGGATCCCTTGAGCTCAGGAGTTTGAGGCCAGCCTGGGCAACATGGTGAAACCCCATTTCTACAAAAAATACAAAAAATTAGCCAGGCATGGTGGTGAGTACCTGTGGTCCCAGCTACTCAGGAGGCTGAGGTGGGGGTTGCAGTGAGCCAAGATTGAGCCACTGCACTCCAATCTGGGTGCCAGAGTGAGACCCGTCTCCACACACACACACAAAAAAGTTATTGCTTTGCTTTCTATGTCTTGTCTTTACTTATCAAGCTGTTTTTCTTTCTTTTTTTTTTTTTTTGTTGGATGATGTCTCACTATGTTGACCAGGCTGGAGTGCAGCAGCTACTAACAGGCAAAATCAACCATAGTATACTATACAACCTCAAACTGCTGGCCTCAAGTGATCCTCCCACCACAGCCTCCCTAGTAGCTGGGACTATAGGCACCTGCCACTGCACCCTGTAAAAGCTATTCTCTTATATATACTTCTAGAAGCTTTACATTTTTTGCTTTTATTTTTAAATCCACGATTTATCTCAAATTAGCTTTTATATAGGGTGTGAGGTAGGGATCTAGGTTCATCTTTCCCATGTGAGTAATCTGTTATTCCAGCACCATTTGTTGAAAAGACTTTAATTTCTCCATTTCATTCCATTGATGCCTTTGTTGAAAACAAGCATAAGTCTGGGTCTATTTCTGAACTCTGTTCTCTTTCTCTGTCCTTATGCCAAAACCACATTGTCTTGTTTACAACAGCTTTATAGGTAATGTTAAAATCAGAGCATGTAAGTGCTATTTTCTGACTTCAAAATTGTTTTGGCTATTCTGAGTGCTTTGCATTTTATACAGTATTTATTTACACTATTTATTTATTTATTTAGAGATGGAGTTTCATTCTTGTTGCCCAGGCTGGAGTGCAATGGTGCAATATCTCAGCTTACTGCAACCTCCGCCTCTTAGGTTCAAGCAAGTCTCCTCCCTTGGCCTCCAGAGTAGCTGGGACTACAGGCACCTGCTGCAACACCTGGCTAATTTTTTGTAGTTTTAGTAGAGATGGGGTTTCACCGTGTTAGCCAGGATGGTCTCAATCTCCTGACCTCATGATCCGCCCGCCTCGGCCTCCCAAAGTGCTAGGATTACAGGCGTGAGCCACCGCGCCCGGCTGGAAGCTATTCTTTTGTTGTTGTTGTTGTTGTTGTGTCACTATGTTAACCAGACTGGAATGCAGTAGATACTCACAGGTGCAATCATAGTAGACTATGATAGCATTGCCCAGGCTAGACTCAAACTCTTGGACTCAAGCAATCTCTTGCCTCAGCTCTTGAGTAGGTGGGACTACAGGCACATACCACCATGCCTGGCTCCTTTAGTATTTCTTGTAGTGTAGGTGTGCAGGCAATTCATTTTCCTTCATCTAAAAATGGCTCTTCACTTTCACTCTTGTTTTTTTTTTTTTTGAGACAGAGTCTCACTCTGTTGCCCAGACTGGAGTGCAGTGGCATGATCTTTTTTTAACTTTTTGCTACAATTTGCTAAGGTGTAATTTTTCCCTTGTCTATCTTGGTCTTTGAACTTCTTTTCACACCAAATGTGGAAATTTTCTTCAGTTTTTTTCTGCCCCATTCTCTCTCTTCCTTATGTATGAGATTCCTATTCCATGCATGCTAGTCCTATTTATTTTGTCCTGCAGACCACCAAGGCTCTGTTCATTTATATTTTATTTTTTTGAGACGGAGTTTCATTCTTGTTGCTCAGGCTGGAGTGCAATGGCGTGATCTCAGCTCAACGCAACCTCCGCCTCCCAGGTTCAAGCGATTCTCCTGCCTCAGCCTCCCGAGTAGCTGGGATTACAGGCATGCGCCACCAGCCTGGCTAATTTTGTATTTTTAGTAGAGATGGAGTTTCTCCATGTTGGTCATGTGGGTCTCAAACTCCCGACCTCAGGTGATCTGCCTGCATTGACCTCCCAAAGTGCTGGGATTACAGGCATGAGCCACCACACCTGGCCTATTTTTTAATTTAATTTAATTTAATTTAATTTTTTGAGACAGAGTTTTGTTTGTTACCCAGGCTGGAGCGCAATGGTGTGATCTCAGCTTGCTGCAACCTCCACCTCCTGGGTTCAAGCTATTCTTCTGCCTCAGCCTCCCAAGTAGTTGGGATTACAGGCATGGGCCACCACATCCAGCTCATTTTTGTATTTTTAGTAGAGACAGGGTTTCCCCATGTTGGCCAGGCTGGTCTTGAACTCCTGACCTCAGATGATCTACCCGGCTTGGCCTCCCAAAGTGCTGGGATTACAAGCGTGAGCTACCGTGCCTGGCCTGTTCATTTATTCTTCATTATTTTTCTCTGTGTTCTTCAGGTCGTGTATATGATCTATCTTCAAACTTCCTGACCCTTTTTCTTCTGTCTCCAAGATGCTGTTAAGGCCATTCAGAATTTTTTTTTCTTTTTTTTTAGAGATGAGGTCTAACTATGTTGCTCAGCCTAGTCTCAAACCCCCAGCCTCAAGTGATCCTCCCACCTCAGCCTCCCAAGGTGCTGGGATTACAGGTGCGAGCCACCATGCCCGGCCCCATCCCAGTGAATTCTTAATTTCAGATTGTGTACTTTGCAAGTTCTAGAATTTCTATTTGGTTCTTGTTTATATTTTTTCCTTTTACTCCTGAGATGTCCACATCTATTCCTCTATGAAGATTATATTTTCCTTTGTATCTTTAAACATATGTAAAATAGAGCCTTTAAGATCCTCATCTGATAATTCTAGTATTGCAGGGTCTGTTGACTGTTGTGGTTTTTTTCCACCCTGGTTGTAAGCTATATTTTCCTAATTCTTTGTGTATCTAGAAAGTTCTCATTGCATGCTGAACATTATAGTTGCTACATAACTGGACATAGAGATTTTATTATCTTTAGAGAATATATTGAGTTTTGTTTCCACAAGCAGTCAAAATACTGGCAAATCACCTTGATCCTTTTGAGGCTTGTTTTTAAGCTTATTAGTTTGGGTCTAGAGTAGCTTTTACTCTATGGCTTTGGCCCTACCCCTAAACTGTGGTCTTTCTGAGATGTCAATGGAGTGTCCAAGGAGTTCAGTAAGGTTTCCACTCGCTTGTCCAGAACTTTTATCTCCTAGTAATCTATAAAATCTCCAGTTCACCTCTCCTTTGCAGCTCTTTTCTACTAGGCCTTGTAAGCTGTTATCTACAAGCTTAGTATTTGATCAAAGACTTAAGGGGAACCTTTTGCAGATTTCTGGAGCTCTTTTTTTCTTCTCCCCCTTATTCTGCCCCACAAACTCCAGCCATCTCAGAAGCCCCAAATTCTCTGCTTCTTCAGATCACTGAGACCACTGTTTCCAGCTTAGGCTCTGCCTCTCCATAACACAGTTTGGGAAGTGCCCTGGGTAGAGACAGTGACAGTGGGGTTTTCCCTTCTCTCAAGGATCTCAGTCTTACATGAGTATTAGTCAAAACCTGACATACATAAAACAGTGGCTTTATATATTTTCACAAGTTTTATGCTTGTTTATAGTAGGAAATCTAATCTTTGTCAATTACTCCATCATGACCTGAGCCTTTTTTCTTTTCTTTTTTTCTAAAGAAGAGCAATTTATTTTCTTACAGTTCTGGAGGCTGGAAGAGTACCATTCAATCCACAGTACACCTTGGAAAGGGCTCGGGATCTGAATTTTTAATGACCACCTCTAGTTATGGTTGAGGCAGTTGGTCACACAGTGTCTTCCATTGTCTGCCTGTGTTTTTATAGCCTTCTCTGTTGTGGCTGTAAGTCGAGAAGTGGTCAAGATGCCTTGAGCTTCTCATTGCTTCCCATATCCCTAAGCCCTTCCTTCCTTCCTAGCATTCATGCACACAGTTCCCTCTTGGAATCTTGTACTTTTCCCCATTACCTTTTTCACATATTTATGTGTTACATAAAACCAGAGCCATTGCTGCATGCATTTGAGCAAGGTGCTTAACTTCTCAGGGTTTGATTCTTTAACTCTAAAATGTCTATTCTGTTTCTTAAGTTTTACATGTATACTAAAGACAAGAGTGCTTTTGATTTCCCAGTTGCTTTGCCATTAAACTTAGACCACAGGACCCTTCAGCATGAATGACCAATAACCCAATTGTGTAGTACAAAAAGTACAGCTAGGTACCAAAAAAACAACTGGTTTATCTCTGTCACTACCTCTGCCACAGAAGCACTATTTGTGGGCCCTGTTTCTTCATTTGGTAAAATGAGGGGTTGATCCAGAAGAACTCTGAGGTACTTCCCACTTCTAACATTCTCTGATAATCAAGAGTTCACAAAGAAGAGAATACTTACTTCACTTCAGTTAATCAAAGAAGAGATATAAAAATCCTTAAGACAGTCTCTGGCCATAAGGACGAAAGCACCTAAGAAGCAGATTAGTATATGGTCTTTTTAACCTTTTTAAAGCTAATACAGTTTCAGCCATGTCTGCCTTACCTGTAATACCCATATGACAGTTGTGAAATGCATCTGTAAGACCATCACAGAGTATACTGTCAGTCAGTGGCATCTCACCTATCTTTACTCCTGTTCTCAAGTAAGCCAAGTGAGGAGCCTAGAAGTCAGAAATAAAAATGGATTTAGGCTTAGTTGCAATTAGTCTTCTCCCCAGAATACAACTCAAAACTATCTAGTATTTCCTAAGTCTTCATCTAGGCCCCTTTGCAGCCCTTCTCCCCAGTTCTAGGTCCTCAGCCAGGCCAAGGTCTAAAGACCCCTGGAATTAGCAGACTTCATCTTTCCTATTGTTGGGAACGATTACTCTCCTACCTACCCATTTTCAATTCTCCCTCAAACCTACCCATTCTGTGTCCTGTTTCCTTAAGAATTCCATTTATTCTTTCCATCGAGGCAATTAATTATCTGTTAAATGAAGAAATCCTCTAAGGGCTTAAGTAAAGCTAACAATGTGTTACCTATTTCAATGGATGACATAATGTCTACAGTGAGAATAATCAGGCTAACTAAATGATGGGGAGGGATTTCTGAGTAGCGGCCAGTCTTAACTCTCACCAACTCAACAGCAGGTATATTAGAATGGAAAGAGTCATTGATTGGACTTAGAGTCGGAAGAGTTGTATTTGAATGCTGGCTCTGGTCCTCAGTTTCCTTACCTGTAAACTGGGAATGGTATCATCTACCCTATATGGGGCTGTTGTGAACACATGTACAAAAGCACCTGGTAAAGTACTACACAGATGTCAGTATCATCCCATCAAAATCACTCCGATTATTTTTGTTACCTTTAGCCTGCCTCCTCCTGAACCTCAGCAATGGCTGGGCTGAATCAGCTTCTATCTAGGGAA